>NC_000004.12:110739562-110891077 GCF_000001405.40 Homo sapiens | reverse complement strand
ATTGCTGTGAGTGATTAATAGATCAGGTGTGCTAGTATATCAATTTTCTAAGCCATCAGGGCCTCCTCTGTCCTGATCTGGGACATCTGCGCCTCAAACAGCCAGCCAGAGCCAGAGGCAGCCAAAGGGCCACCTCCACCTCTCCCACTACCACTCCAGTCACGGAGTTGAGGTGCCTTTGCTGAGGCTGGTCTTCCTTGGCAGTGCTCAGCAGACTGAAGAAGAAGCTGAAGAGGGTACCAGTCTGAGCATACTGGTTATATGGGGGCAGGAACACTACCCTTATTCTTAAACTTACCATGTAGTTCAGAAAACTGATGGTATGGTATGAAACGTAAAAGTTATTAAAGATTAATGTTAAAGAAAAAAGCATATAACGCCATGTGAAAAGGGAAAAGTACAGGAAAATGTTACACTGTTAGGGAAGGTGGGTCAGGAAGATTTAAACCATTGACACGGAGAAGAAAGTCAATTAAAAAAAAAAAACTTGGGTCACTTTTGTAAGAGTAATTTCCATAAGGGTGATGTTGATGAATGGCAATCCACATGGGGGCCAGTGGGAGAGCAAGGACATAGCATCTAATAGTCTAGATCATGTGAAAGACACAGTAACATATTGGATAAAAGGACAACACCTCTAGAGCCTTGCTACTTGAGTTCAAATTCTGACTTTACCCTTTCCAGCTGTTTAGCCCTGGGCAAGTTGCTTGACATCTCTGTGCCTCAGTTTCCTTTTCTTTGTAATATATTAGTGCCTGCCACATAGTCACATTTGATCATATTAAGGATTAAATGAGTGGATATTTGTAAAGCACCATAGAGCCATGAAATCCAATGAGCCCTAAGTTATCTCTATCCTTTCACATTACCAGCACTCACTACAGAACCATGTGCATAGAAAGTTGGCAAACACTGGTGATGAAATGTTGTTGAATTATCTGCTTTATTTCAGGAAAAAAGAAGGAACAAATATGGCACTATAGCTCATTATCTGTAAGCTTTATAATGTTTTTATTTGAACAACACATTCATATTTATGTTTAAGAAACTTCACTGTAGAACACTACTCTTCCCAGTTTACTAATAAGACAGTTTAATTAGTTTATCACAGAAACCAGAGGTTTAGAATCTGCTTGTAGAATCTTGAGGCCCTGTATTAACTATCATGTAAGAAAAAGATTTTCATCGTAATTTTTAAATCACAACTTCAAAATTGCATCAAATTTACATTAAATTAAAATACTTCCAACCACAAGGGTTTTTTAATGCCATAAATAATAAGGTTTATCATCCCTAATAACAAGAAACTCAGCAGAGTGAAAGCTTTGGATCACTTTCTCTGAAATTGCCCCAGATCTCTCCTGATCACCATATGGCTTCCACAGTTTCTACAACAAAAACTCACCCAAAAGCTTTCAAGAAGGAAAGAAGAGGGGCCCCTCTCATGTCTCTGTTAATCAGGTTAGAAATGTTTTTTTTTTTTCCAGAAGCCCTCAGCACACTCTTCTTTACATCTTTGTCCAAAAAGGGACATCATGATCACCATTAGACCAGTCATGAGCCATGTGCATAGAAACAACACAAAGGGAATGGGATTATTGTGATAGCTTAGACCAACCATAATCAACCTCACGTGGCTGGACACATCATTTCTGAGTGTGCTGTTCCCCAGTACCTAAACAAAATGGGGGTGGCTTGAGCAAGGAAAAAGGTGGGCAAACAACTGTGTTTGATCCATGTTGACTAGGAATATAAATGCCATGTTCCAGATTCTAAGGTAAGTACTAGAGATCAATAATAAACACAACACCATCCTTGTCTTTAATTTCCAAGATCAGAATAGTCTCAGATTTTCTATTCTAATATCTGTGACACTAAATAATCATAGAAGTTAATTTAATATCTTTCACAAATTAAGCATCACTTTTAAATTTTAAATTATACATGCCAGACACATAACTATTTTTGCTTTTGATACTCATTAAAAGCAAAATTAAAGTAAAATTAGGATCTTGCTCTAAACCTTTCAATATAATATCAGACAATAAAGATAAAATAAATTCTAAACTATTCCATACTGGATACACTAATATACACAATGGTAAAAACTAATTTTTTCTCTTGTGTAAAATATACACAAGACCAAACAATAAAAATAAAATTCTGAACTATTTCATATTTGATACGCTAATATACACAATGGAAAAAAGTAATTTTCTTCATATCCTCAAGAAAGTATCAGACAGTTTTATATATTTTTGTTACTATAGGCTGATTATTTTTCTCCTTTACAAATCTAAGAAATCCTCAAGGTCAAGGCTTATCTTTTATCTTTGATCACAGCATATTGTGTGATGCTTGCTACATAAATGTTTATCAAATAAAAGAATAAATGAACACATACCCTTTCAAGTCATTTTTCTACTTGCCTTTTCTCTTTTTTCTGACCTGTTTGCAATGGCCTTTTATGTTGTCATTTCATTTGATCTCACTATTAGTACCTGGTTTCAGATCATAGATTATTTTATTCGGGATTGATAAAGGTAGAAGGTAGAATCAGGGAAATACATACATGATGAAGTAATAATGAAGAGACAGAATTGAACAAGGAACAACTTGATGTTCATTCAGCTTCTGAATAACCACCATCACTATGATTGCTTAACTTTTTCAGTATTCAAAACTATTTATTAATATTTTGTTTTCTCTGTATCTAGTATAGGAAAAAAATGTGTAAATTTTTCAAATGAGCAAGAGGTTACAGGCTATCCTTTTAATAGAATGATACAGTCTGATACTTTTGAGTTGTGTACCTTTATATGCCCAATTTTAGGGATGTGCAAAATTTTACACAATTTTAGTCTTTGAGCAGGCTATTTTATAACTGTAGTGATGGACATTAACTTGTAGAACACTTGTAGAAATTTGATAGTAATACAAATAATTCCTGCCTATAGAAATGTAAATTGTTTCTGTGAAATGCAGTTGATTATTGTTCTATAGATATTGACCAGTTTTGCCAGTTTGGCATTCATTTGCGAATTTATTGCAGCATTCCTAATCTGACAATAAGAGTGTGGTACTTTGATTTCTCTTTTAATCTTGCTATATATCCCACTGGCTTTCTCATAAATTAATCAGTTAAATAAATTGTTTTAGTTAAGTAAAATTTTTTTTTTTTTTTTTTTTTTTTTTGAGACGGAGTCTCGCTCTGTTGCCCAGGCCGGACTGCGGACTGCAATGGCGCAATCTCGGCTCACTGCAAGCTCCGCTTCCTGGGTTCACGCCATTCTCCTGCCTCAGCCTCCCGAGTAGCTGGGACTACAGGCGCCCGCCACCGCGCCCGGCTAATTTTTTGTATTTTTAGTAGAGACGGGGTTTCACCTTGTTAGCCAGGATGGTCTCGATCTCCTGACCTCGTGATCCACCCGCCTCGGCCTCCCAAAGTGCTGGGATTACAGGCGTTAGTTAAGTAAAATTTTTGATGTATGGTCATCTTATATCAGATGAGAGTAATAATTTTACCTTTTAAAAATAGATATTAAATTATACATTAATTGTGTGAAGTAAACAAGGCTTGTGTTAACAAATGTTTTAATAGAGTCTTTAGAAATCTCTCAAATTTATTCCTTCATTCCTATTTTTAAGTCAGTATTTACAAAACACGTTAGTGTTGTTTTCTGAATTTACTGAGATGAAAAGCAGTTGCCTTCTCCTCCAAAATATTCCTCTTTTAATTTTTTTAAAAAACTGGATATGTTCAAATTCAAAACTCAAGTAGATATTCATGGAGAAATGCAAGAAAAGAATAATATTTAACCTAGCACCAAACACAGACTCTAAAACATAAAAAAGCAGAGAATGTCAAAATCAATGGATATCCACCAAAATAAAGATGAACTATCATTACGTGACTGAAGAAGGAAATTTATATATATATATATATATATTTAAAGAAGACATGACTTTTCCGTTTAAATGGACTCCAGGCACATGGGGCGGTGGCTCACGCCTGTAATCTCAGCACTTTGAGTGGCCACGGCGGATGGATCACGAGGTCAGGAATTTGAGACCACCCTGGCCAACATGGTGAAACCCTGTCTCTACTAAAAAAATTAAAATACAAAAAAGAAAAAAATAGCTGGGTATGGTGGTGGGTGCTTGTAATCACAACTACTCGGGAGGCTGAGGCAGGAAAATCCCTTGAACCCTGGAGGTGGAGGTTGCAGTGAGCCGAGATCGCGCCATTGCACTCCAACCTGGGCAACAAGAACGAAACTCTATCTCAAAAACAAAACAAAAATAGAAAAATTAAAAAAAAGAGGACTCCAGTATTTGCTTTAATTTATTTTTGTTTTAAGAAAAGTAACCATTTTTATATGTTAATAAAATGAAAAATGTCTCTCCCAGCCTTTTCCTCTTCCTGTGCCTCTACTGCAGTGGCTATTAAATCTAAAACTTACATTCACATGTGTGACAATCATATCACCTCTCTAATTTTTATTCTACGACAGAAAGCACACATCTTAGATTGATGTTTCCATTGCAGCTGACTAATTTGGCGGGAGTAACAGCTATAATTTGCCAACAGGTTGATATGACAGAGTATGGGCTAGGATGACAGCACAGGACCTTTCATCGGGTATAATCTACGACACATGCGTATTACAGAGTGCCAGGTGTAGATCAGTGGGTGCCACAGTGAAATACAAGAAAAGGAAATCTTCCCTGCTTCTCGGTGCTTGCTAGCATAAAAATCAAGATGATGAACCACCATTTTCTCTTTTAGTAGAAAGTTTACAAAGGCCAGTGCAGGCTTAAAAATAAATGTGTTATTCCAAATGAGTCAATGAAAATAGAAACATTAATTTACTTAACCAGAGATGTCTCAATCACAGGCTGAAAAGGTACTACCAAGAACCTTGAAAATGTATGGCTATGTAAACACTTCATCTAGCCTGATATAGCAATGCATATGATTCCATGAAAACTCTACCCAAGATATTTTAAAACACATTTTATTTATAACAAATCCATTTCCAAGTAAGAAAACCAATAACTGGAGGATAAATGTGATATATTTTTTCTTTAAACTTAGATTAATCCCTGACTTTCTCTTCATATACATGTCACAAGATGTATGAAGTTTAAAGAAGTCTAACAACTATTTGCTTCATGGAACTGGTTTTCTCAAAAGAATGTTCTAGTTCTTTTTGTCTTTATGCATCAGTCTTGAATTCTTACATGGTATTATCATCATCATCATCTATCTGCAGGAGAATAATTCATTCTGTGACTATCATTTGTTTCATCACCTGCCCCCAACTCAAATATCCGTCATTCTTCCCTACTTCTGTCTTATATAGGCCTGCCATCAGTACCATCTCTCAGACCCTCACTCACCAAACTTACATGCTGTGCTCTCCTCTGTCCCTGAGACCTACCTATCTAAACTCTGCTAATTTTTCAAAGACTTAGTCCACAAGTTCTTCCTAAATTAGTATCAAACTTGTTACAAATAATATTCAAATTACCTTCATCACTTCCTGTTATTTTATATTTTCAATTAAATCTACATTTCAATTAAATTGCAATTAAATACCACCTTAATTAAAATCCACATCTAAGTTCTAGAATATGAAGGTCTCAACAAAATCAGGTCTTGGAATATTGGGAAAAGTCATGGTACACATGGAAAACTGTCAACTGAGTGTAAAGTCATTATGATATTGGAGTTAATATGGGCCACTTACATGATCATCACCAGAATCAACAATCAGCTGAGTGGAATATCTACCAGGTACATGCTGAATAAGTTCACAGTTTCTACTTCTCTACTGTATAGATAGATAGAGTAGAATGGCACAGAGTTATGGCTATTGCATGGAAATGGTGCTTTGTTTTAGAGAGTGTAATGGTTAATACTGAGTGTCAACTTGATTAGATTGAAGGATACGAAGTATTGATCCTGGGTGTGTCTTCGAGGGTGTTGCCAAAGGAGATTAACATTTGAGTCACTGGACTGGGAAAGACAGACCGACCCTCAATCTTGGTGGGCACAATCTAATCTGCTGCCAGCGTGACTAGAATACAAGGAGGCAGAAAAATGTGAAAACAGAGACGGGCCTAGCTTCCCAGCCTACCTCTTTCTTCTATGCTGGATGCTTCCTATCCTCCAACATCGGACTCCAAGTTCTTCAGTTTCGTAACTCGGACTGGCTCTCCTTGCTCCTCAGCCTGCAGACAGCTTATTGTGGGACCTTGTGATCCTTTGAGTCAATACTTAATAAACTCCCCTTCATTCATATATATATATATGTATGTCATACATCTTGTGACATGTATATGAAGAGAAAGTCAGGGATTAATCTAAGTTTAAAGAAAAAATATATCACATTTATCCTCCAGTTATTGGTTTTCTTACTTGGAAATGGATTTGTTATAAATAAAATGTGTTTTAAAATATCTTGGGTAGAGTTTTCATGGAATCATATGCATTGCTATATCAGGCTAGATGAAGTGTTTACATAGCCATACATTTTCAAGGTTCTTGGTAGTACCTTTTCAGCCTGTGATTGAGACATCTCTGGTTAAGTAAATTAATGTTTCTATTTTCATTGACTCATTTGGAATAACACATTTATTTTTAAGCCTGCACTGGCCTTTGTAAACTTTCTACAAAGTTTACATTTATATATATATGGGAGATATATATATATATATATATGGGAGATATATATATATATATATATGGGAGATATATATATATATATATATGGGAGATATATATATATATATATGGGAGATATATATATATATGGGAGATATATATATATATGGGAGATATATATATATATATGGGAGATATATATATATATATGGGAGATATATATATATATGGGAGATATATATATGGGAGATATATATATATGGGAGATATATATATGGGAGATATATATATATGGGAGATATATATATATGGGAGATATATATATATGGGAGATATATATATGGGAGATATATATATATGGGAGATATATATATATGGGAGATATATATATATGGGAGATATATATATATGGGAGATATATATATATGGGAGATATATATATATGGGAGATATATATATATGGGAGATATATATATATGGGAGATATATATATATGGGAGATATATATATATGGGAGATATATATATATGGGAGATATATATATATGGGAGATATATATATATGGGAGATATATATATATGGGAGATATATATATATGGGAGATATATATATATGGGAGATATATATATATGGGAGATATATATATATGGGAGATATATATATATGGGAGATATATATATATGGGAGATATATATATATGGGAGATATATATATGGAGATATACATATGTGAACATATATATATGTGAACATATATATATATGTGAATGGGAGATATATATATGTGAATATCTCCCATTCACATATATATGTGAATATATATGTGTGAATATATATATTCTCCCATTCACATATTCTCCCATTCACATATCTCCCATTCACATATATATGTGAATATATATATTCACATATATATTTATACACATATATATAATATATCTCCCATTAGTTCTGTCCCTCTAGAGAACCTTCATACAGAGAGTTAAACAGTAGTCTACATTTACTGAATATTTAATATGCATGAAGCAACTTGAGGCATTTTTGCACGCACGCTTTCATTTAATCCTCACACCAAGCCAATGAGCAAAACACCATTATCCTCATTTTACAGATGAGAGGCAGATTTACTTACCTAGGCTACTCAAAATATAAAGAGTGGAGCCAAGATTCAGATTTGTACTGTCTGCCTGAGCCTTTTAACATTGCCCTCTGCTCTGGGTCCCATTCCTCCTCATCCGTAATATTTTTGCCGTGATTGTTTGTCCCTAATTTATTCTTTCTAAATGGACACATCTAATTCATAAAAAGAAAGTCCTAGAATGGATGAAACCATTCCTAATATATTATCTCCTTTCATTTTATTTTGAAATATCAGAGACCAACAAATAGCGTTAACATTTGGTGGGAAATTGTGAAGTAGGCCAAGTGCTCTTTTGTGAAACTATCCCCACTCTCACATCAGCCCTTAGCACCATCCTCCTGACCCCCTAGAGACCCACCGCGGCATCCCCCTGAACAAAGCGCTTGAAATGTTGGTGTAAAATTTGAGCCTACCCTACATCAGGAATGCAAGATAATCAGAAGACCCCACATTTGTGTGACACTTTATGGATTAAAAACCATTTTTAGTTATTGCTTTGATCTTCATAGAAAGAAGTCTTCTCAGAATTTGAGGCCTGAGTCATGTCCATTTTTAAATTCCTCAACATATAAAGGTAAATACATCTCAAACTAAGGTTACAAAAATTATCATATATTTTTAACATTTAAATGGCACAAATTTTCACTTTCAACATGCATACAAACAACAAACTGTAATAGTGCTGTTTTTAAAATAATTCATAGAATTTTAAAAATATATTCATAGTGCACTATAGATGTTTTGGCTTGGAAATGGGACACGATTGAAATTGTAGTAAGAATATATTCCAGGCCAGGCATGATGACTCACTCCTGTAATCCCAGCACTTTGGGAGGCCAAGGTGGGTGGATCACTTGAGGCCAAGAGTTCGAGACCAGCCTGTCCAACAGTGAAACCTCATCTCTACTAAAAATACAAAACTTGCTCAGTGTGGTGGTGTATGCCTGTAATCCCAGCTACTCAGGAGGCTGAGGCATGAGAATCACTTGAACCCGGGAGCTGAGATGGCACCACTGCACCCCAGCCTGGGCAACAGAGCAAGACTGTCTCAAAATAATAATAATAATTAATAATAATATATTTTGTGGTAGAGAATATCAGCTGTCCCCCAAAAAATCTGTTCTTCCCTTTAGGTAGAACTGAGAGAACTGCAGCTGGACAAGGCTTTCTACTTACATAGTTCCCACACTCCTTCCCAATAAATCTGACCTGTGCAACTAAATTCCCCCTAAAGGAATGTGAAATGTGAATGCGCTGTGTGACACAGCTGGGAGACCACAGGACTATGTGTGTGCTGACTCCATTCTCTCCTTTCCACTCTTGGAAACCACTGTGATCCAATCTCAACCATGGAAGATGGTGGGGCACTAAGAAATGACAGAGAAACATGATGGAAAGAACCCGGATCCTTCAATGACCCTGCATTCCACAGCAGCACACTGCCTTGAAACTGCTATGTCAGAAAGAAAATGTCTTTCTTCTTTTAACCACAGCTATTATTGGGCCTCTTTACTACAGTCTAATCTAACCTCATCCAAACTAATAGATGTTCTTTGAATTGTGTCAGTACATCCCTGCAACTGAATACAAAATAATTATTTTAGAGATATCAAAAAAGTTAATGTGGCCAGGTCGTGGAGGCTCATGCATGTAATCCCAATGCTGTGGGAGGCTGAAGCAGGCAGATCACTCGAACACAGGAGTTCAAGGCCAGCCTGAGCAACATGGCAAAACCCCATTTCTACCAAAAAAAAAACAAAATAACAAAAATTAGCCAGGTGTCTTGGCATGTGCCTGTAGTCCCAGCTACTCAGGAGGCTGAGATGGGAGGATGGCTTGAGCCTCAGAGGTGGAGGTTGCAGTGAGCCGAGATGTCACCACTGCATTCAAGCCTGGGTGACAGAGTGAAAACCTGTCTCAAAAACAAAAAAAAAAAGAAAGAGAGAGAGAGATCAATGTGAGGTCTTTTGAGAAAATGACATCTGGGTTCAAGGGTCTTGCTGCCTCACCCAATCACTCCCACCTCAGCCCCCAAACCCATGAGACAGACCCTACACAGCTATCCTAAAAGCCAGTGTTTTTGCCTTCTTTTACATAAGAGGAAGATGCAGATCAGGGTGTAATTTGGCCAAGGAAACCCACCAGGCTTTCCACTCAGGTACTCTGGCTCCAAATTCATGACAGAGTTGTACTCTTTGATCCCAAATCAAGATTGTCTAAAGATCCATAATCACACATCCTATTTTCACATAAAAATTAGCAGAAGCAAATGCTTTATTATTATAGTGAGGTTTCATCTATTTTCTATTTGATGGACAATTAATAGTTTCACAGACATTTCAACATGGAGAGGAAAAAACATGAAATCTTAGAGGTAGTGGAGGGGGTCTCTTGCCTGTCCACCCAGGAGCAAGGTCAAGACCACTGATACTTTGCCAAAAAATTCCATTTCTACCATTTCTTTCCCCTCAAAATTGTATATTTTAGCTAGAAACTCTAACATTTACTTAAATTGTAGTAAGAAGCACAGATAATGGCAATAGTATTTAGCCATTATATTTTCCACTTACACAAAGTCAAATACTTCAGACTTCTCCTTTACCTCTCCTTCAAAAATATATCTGATGTCCCATCTCCTCTTTTCTAGAACCTTACTCATTGTTAAGCATTATACTCTAATTCCTGATAATGGGTGATAACGTGCTTTAATTTCATAGTAGTTTTCATAGACAATGTCTAAACTTCAATAAGTATAGAAAATTTCAGAAGCTGTGGCAATCTGTTTGGAGATATTATAGCTGGATTGTCTTCCTAGGCCTTTCCTATCATTCCACGCGTCCTTTCAAATGTAGTAGTAATGCTTGCAATAATATTTCCAAGCATCAATTTAAGGCTAAAAAATTAATGACATGTTTTACTCTCTTTTACATTCACATTTATCAGTCCTTGAAATTTTTTCATTTTTTTATCTTATTGAAGTTTAACTTAGAATAGTTATAAAGTTAGAAAAAACATAATATCTGGACTTAAATTTGACTAATAAGAAATAAATGATCGAGACTGAGAACAGAGTTGGCAATTAACACTTACTTTGTGTCTATTTTGTGCCAGACTTTACACATGGAAGATTTACATTATTTCAGGTTATTATCACAACAAGAACAGCAGTTTTATTCCTCCATCCATTTGATAAATAATAATTCAGATTTGAAGGATATCTTACTCATTGATTCCCAAATAATAAATGGTAAAGCTAGGATTAAATTTAGATCTATTTGATTACAAAGTTTATGGTTTTTTGTAAGCTTTAGGAAAAACTGATTATGTGTGCGTTTTTCATGCATAAAAAGTAAAGAAAGCTATCATTGTCAGATATCAACCCCAGAATTTGCAAGCAAATTTTTTCCTTTTTTTTTTTTTTTTCTTTAAGTTCAGAGAAAAAGCAGGTAGCAGCCCAGGAGCAAAAATTCTAGAAGAGAATGTGGTCCCAAGAATGAGAAAATTGAGATACATTTACAGAAATCAATCAAGTTACATTGCCCCACATTATTATCTAGGGCCAATGTCTGGGTTCATTTCAGATGAACTCAGATTTCAAAACGACCTATGTAAAGGCTGGAAATAAGGGCACTAATGTGAAAATAAATGAAGGAAAGGGAGGAGCTTACATCTGTTGGAAAGATGTAACAAAGGTTTAAACCCAGATGCACTGAGGCTTAGAAAAAATTTCAGTCATCAAAAGGACTTTTAAAACTCTGATAAAAGGGAAACCCCTCAAAAGGAAATGAAATAGCAACTGTTTACAAAAGGTTTCTAATATTTACAGAAAACAGAAAGACAAAAGTCTCACCTAAGGCCTATGTTGCCTCCATCATCTCCACTAAGAAGAGGACAGTCTGAAAACATTCCCTAGACATGGGTGATAGAGTTTGTAACCGGTGGTTCTTAGTCTTTCTTTTAATTTCAACTCCTATTATCCTGTTCCTGAGAAACTCCAAGATCCACATGGATGTTACATATACTATAAACCTTCCTGCTCCACTACATTCCTCATGAATGACCTTCACCCACACCTCACTTCAGTAAAACCTACTTCATGGCTAATCCAGCACTGCTTCATCTCTGTGAGCATAAGCTCCAACAGCCTACGGTGATCATGGACTTCCCTTTTCCAGTTCCCTGTGTCCCACAACACTGGCACTTTGAATTTGTCAGGACCAAAAACCTCTTGACTCTATTTAGCATATGGCCTCCCCCTCCTGGTTTTGTTCCATACCATACCAAGCGTCCCACCTCAACAACACTCACTTATCTTGTAAAATTCCGACCTTGGATCTATTCAACCTTATATCTTCTCCATTTCTATAATAAAGTTATTAAGCCCAGCTGGAAGAAAATGAAAACAACCTTTAGACTGACACTACTACAACTCTGTGGTTTTCAAATTTTAAAAAGGACTTTCAATATTTATTGGCAATCATTTTTCACGTCTCTGATCAACTCTGTCACCTTTCTCTAATATTTCAAAGTATTTCATGACTCTAGTATTTCAAAGTATTTCAGACTTTAGGGAAAGTATTTCATGACTCTCCTTAAATCCCCTTTCATATCTTTACTCCCTTCATACCAGGAGATGACACAGTCTCCCACTTCAAAGAGGAAAAAGAAGCTATGAGTAATAAACTCCCTCAACCTAATGCCCTCCTACCCACAGAGTTAACTACCTTAAGAGCCATCCTTACATTATGCCCTTCCGTCTGTCCAAGCCTCCCTTCTCATAAGACAGACATCTCATCTCTACTATGATAAACAGTAGCAGCAATGATCTCCAATGATCCATATCCCCCAGTATCCATACCCTTACATGGTGATTCTCCACTTGGCAATGAGACATGCTGTGGCCATTGGGACAATAGCAAATGTGATGCAAACTGAGTTTTGGAAAGAGCTTGGGCATTGAAATTTGCCTTCTCTTGCTGCACTTGGGAATCCTACCACCATCTCCAAGTGAATAATCCCAGGCTAGCCTGTAGAATGATGATAGACACATGGCCTGGTCATTGCCTCAGCTGATATTGAGCCAACTGTCAGTCGTAAGAGATCTTCTTACACAATTCAACCCAGACAAGCCACCAGCTGAGCTCAGAGGCCATCTCAGCAGCTGAGACCGAAATAACTGCCCAGTTTACAGATTTGTGAGAAATAATCAGTATGTGTTGCTTTAAGCCACAAAGTTTTGGAGTAGTTAACTAAGCAGCAAAAACTAATTGATCCTTGCCCTATCAGGTGTGCCTTCTAGCTCCTCTAGGTTCCCTCTTCCTAACTGGCTGCTGCTTATCAGCTTTCATACAAACTCAGGTTTCTTCTATTGTAAACCACCACCTTCACTCCCATGTGCAAATTACTTTATAACCAAGCTTTTTCAAAGCTATTTTCCTTACTTAGTGTCCAGATCTTAACTGTGAAACCTGATTGTTGCAGTCATGACTCCAATGAAACTGCTCTTAAAGTTGCCAATGAACTTGCTAACTCCAATGAATACTTTTCAGTGTTTCTTTTATTTGACTCTTTCACATTTGTACATTTTTAATATTTGAGCACCTGTTTATAGTAGTCTTACCCACTTATCCTGAGAAACTCCTATTCATATATTAGTACTCAATTCAAGAATCATAATTTAACTTATTTTTAAAAATTCACAGACTTTCTCTGGGCTACAGAATATACAAGTGTCCTACTTGTCACATATTTTATTATAACTCTTTAATAACCTTATCAAATGTTTATGATATAAAACTTCCATTAGATTTTGTGATTTCTAACACCAGCATCTAGCATGTGGAAGGGAGTCAATAAATGGTGGATTTATTGCTTCATTTGTTTAACAATCAAAATTCAAACTCTCCTCAATGAAATGAAAAAAAAAAAAAATTTAACAGAGATCAATATAATGGCCTAAATTTAGCTTAAGAACATTAATTTACAAGCATATTCTGCTATACTTTTATGTTAGAGATAGTTTGTATGAAAGAAAACTGTGAACATTATTTCACTTTAGCTCAACTTTATCCAAAAATATGAAGATATATTTTTAAGTAATGAAAACTTAGGCTAACATAATAAGAACATACCCACACTCAGGAGAGGTTATCACACTCTGTAAAATCACATCTGCTCACTTTCTGGAAGCCATCCTTTCAGAGAGATATCAGCACCATAGGCCTGAACATTATGCAATGTAGAGAATGGTGAAACAGATTGAGTCTATTTACCTTCCTAAAGGAAGACTAAAAGGAGAGACAATGGCAGCTTTTAAAATGTGAAGGGCAAGACCGTGGAGGCTCCCATAGCCCCAACAAGCAGAATTAGTACCCATAAGGAGATACAGAAAGAGACATTTCTTCAATGAAAGGAAAATTATTTACCAATTAAAAATAGTTGAAGAGGAGGGAGGAGCCAAGATGGCCGAATAGGAACAGCTCCGGTCTACAGCTCCCAGCGTGAGAGACGCAGAAGACGGTGATTTCTGCATTTCCATCTGAGGTACCGGGCTCATCTCACTAGGAAGTGCCAGACAGTGGGCGCAGGTCAGTGGGTGCGCGCACCGTGCGCGAGCCTAAGCAAGGCGAGGCATTGCCTCACTTGGGAAGCGCAAGGGGTCAGGGAGTTCCCTTTCCGAGTCAAAGAAAGGGGTGACAGAGGGCACCTGGAAAATCGGGTCACTCCCACCCGAACACTGCGCTTTTCCGACAGGCTTGAAAAACGACGCACCACGAGATTATATGCCGCACCTGGCTCGGAGGGTCCTACGCCCACGGAGTCGCGCTGATTGCTACCACAGCTGTCTGAGATCAAACTGCAAGGCGGCAGCGAGACTGGGGGAGGGGCGCCCACCATTGCCCAGGCTTGCTTAGGTAAACAAAGCAGCCAGGAAGCTCCAACTGGGTGGAGCCCACCACAGCTCAAGGAGGCCTGCCTGCTTCTGTAGGCTCCACCTCTGGGGGCAGGGCACGGACAAACAAAAAGACAGCAGTAACCTCTGCAGACTTAAATGTCCCTGTCTGACAGCTTTGAAGAGAGCAGTGGTTCTCCCAGCACACAGCTGGAGATCTGACAATGGACAGACTGCCTCCTCAAGTGGGTCCCTGACCCCTGACCCACGAGCAGCCTAACTGGGAGGCACCCCCCAGCAGGGGCACACTGACACCTCACACGGCAGAGTATTCCAACAGACCTGCAGCTGAGGGTCCTGTCTGTTAGAAGGAAAACTAACAAAAAGAAAGGACATCCACACCAAAAACCCATGTGCACATCACCATCATCAAAGACCAAAAGTAGATAAAACCACAAAGACGGGGAAAAAACAGAACAGAAAAACTGGAAACTCCAAAAAGCAGAGTGCCTCTCCTCCTCCAAAGGAATGCAGTTCCTCACCAGCAATGGAACAAAGCTGGATGGAGAATGACTTTGACGAGCTGAGAGAAGGAGGCTTCAGACGATCAAATTACTCTGAGCTACGGGAGGACGTTCAAACCAAAGGCAAAGAAGTTGAAAACTTTGAAAAAATTTAGAAGAATGTATAACTAGAATAACCAATACAGAGAAGTGCTTAAAGGAGCTGATGCAGCTGAAAACCAAGGCTCGAGAACTACGTGAAGAATGCAGAAGCCTCAGGAGCCGATGCGATCAACTGGAAGAAAGGGTATCAGTGATGGAAGATGAAATGAATGAAATGAAGTGAGAAGGGAAGTTTAGAGAAAAAAGAATAAAAAGAAATGAGCAAAGCCTCCAAGAAATATGGGACTATGTGAAAAGACCAAATCTACGTCTGATTAGGGTACCTGAAAGCGATGGGGAGAATGGAACCAAGTTGGAAAACACTCTGCAGGATACTATCCAGGAGAACTTACCCAATCTAGCCAGGCAGGCCAACGTTCAGATTCAGGAAATACAGAGAACGCCACAAAGATACTCCTCGAGAAGAGCAACTCCAAGACACATAATTGTCAGATTCACCAAAGTTGAAATGAAGGAAAAAATGTTAAGGGCAGCCAGAGAGAAAGGTCGGGTTACCCTCAAAGGGAAGCCCATCAGACTAACAGCGGATCTCTCAGCAGAAACCCTACAAGCCAGAAGAGAGTGGGGGCCAATATTCAACATTCTTAAAGAAAAGAATTTTCAACCCAGAATTTCATATCCAGCCAAACTAAGCTTCATGAGCGAAGGAGAAATAAAATACTTTACAGATAAGCAAATGCTGAGGATTTTGTCACCACAAGGCCTGCCCTAAAAGAGCTCCTGAAGGAAGCGCTAAACATGGAAAGGAACAACCGGTACCAGCCGCTGCAAAATCATGCCAAAATGTAAAGACCATGGAGACTAGGAAGAAACTGCATCAACTAACGAGCAAAATAACCAGCTAACATCATAATGACAGGATCAAATTCACACATAACAATATTAACTTTAAATGTAAATGGACTAAATGCTCCAATTAAAAGACACAGACTGGCAAACTGGATAAAGAGTCAAGACCCATCAGTGTGCTGTATTCAGGAAACCCATCTCATGTGCAGAGACACACATAGGCTCAAAATAAAAGGATGGAGAAGATCTACCTAGCCAATGGAAAACAAAAAAAGGCAGGGGTTGCAATCCTAGTCTCTGATAAAACAGACTTTAAACCAACAAAGATCAAAAGAGACAAGGCCATTACATAATGGTAAAGGGATCAATTCAACAAGAAGAGCTAACTATCCTAAATATATATGCACCCAATACAGGAGCACCAAGATTCATAAAGCAAGTCCTGAGTGACCTACAAAGAGACTTAGACTCCCATACATTAATAATGGGAGATTTTAACACCCCACTGTCAACATTAGACAGATCAACAAGACAGAAGGTCAACAAGGATACCCAGGAATTGAACTCAGCTCTGCACCAAGCAGAACTAATAGACATCTACAGAACTCTCCACCCCAAATCAACAGAATATACATTTTTTTCAGCACCACACCACACCTATTCCAAAATTGACCACATAGTTGGAAGTAAAGCTCTCCTCAGCAAATGTAAAAGAACAGAAATTATAACAAACTGTCTCTCAGACCACAGTGCAATCAAACTAGAACTCAGGATTAAGAATCTCACTCAAAACTGCTCAACTACATGGAAACTGAACAACCTGCTCCTGAATGACTACTGGGTACATAACGAAATGAAGGCAGAAATAAAGATGTTCTTTGAAACCAATGAGAACAAAGACACAACATACCAGAATCTCTGGGACGCATTCAAAGCAGTGTGTAGAGGGAAATTTTTAGCACTAAATGCCCACAAGAGAAAGCAGGAAAGATCCAAAATTGACACCCTAACATCACAATTAAAAGAACTAGAAAAGCAAGAGCAAACACATTCAAAAGCTAGCAGAAGGCAAGAAATAATTAAAATCAGAGCAGAACTGAAGGAAATAGAGACACAACAAACCCTTCAAAAAATTAATGAATCCAGGAGCTGGTTTTTTGAAAGGATCAACAAAATTGATAGACCGCTAGCAAGACTAATAAAGAAAAAAAGAGAGAAGAATCAAATAGACGCAATAAAAAATGATAAAGGGGATATCACCACCGATCCCACAGAAATACAAACTACCATCAGAGAATACTACAAACACCTCTACGCAAATAAACTAGAAAATCTAGAAGAAATGGATAAATTCCTTGACACATACACCCTCCCAAGACTAAACCAGGAAGAAGTTGAATCTCTGAATAGACCAATAACAGGATCTGAAATTGTGGCAATAATCAATAGCTTACCAACCAAAAAGAGTCCAGGACCAGATGGATTCACAGCCGAATTCTACCAGAGGTACAAGGAGGAACTGGTACCATTCCTTCTGAAACTATTCCAATCAATAGAAAAAGAGGGAATCCTCCCTAACTCATTTCATGAGGCCAGCATCATTCTGATACCAAAGCCAGGCAGAGACACAACAAAAAAAGAGAATTTTAGACCAATATCCTTGATGAACATTGATGCAAAAATCCTCAGTAAAATACTGGCAAAATGAATCCAGCAGCACATCAAAAAGCTTCTCCACCATGATCAAGTGGGCTTCATCCCTGGGATGCAAGGCTGGTTCAATATACGTAAATCAATAAATGTAATCCAGCATATAAACTGAGCCAAAGACAAAAACCACATGATTATCTCAATAGATGCAGAAAAGGCCTTTGACAAAATTCAACAACCCTTCATGCTAAAAACTCTCAATAAATTAGGTATTGATGGGACGTATTTCAAAATAATAAGAGCTATCTATGACAAACCCACAGCCAATATCATACTGAATGGGCAAAAACTGGAAGCATTCCCTTTGAAAAGTGGCACAAGACAGGGATGCCCTCTCTCACCACTCCTATTCAACATAGTGTTGGATGTTCTGGCCAGGGCAATTAGGCAGGAGAAGGAAATAAAGGGTATTCAATTAGGAAAAGAGGAAGTCAAATTGTCCCTGTTTGCAGACGACATGATTGTATATCTAGAAAACCCCATTGTCTCAGCCGAAAATCTCCTTAAGCTGATAAGCAACTTCAGCAAAGTCTCAGGATACAAAATCAATGTACAAAAATCACAAGCATTCTTATACACCAACAACAGACAAACAGAGAGCCAAATCATGAGTGAAATCCCATTCACAATTGCTTCAAAGAGAATAAAATATCTAGGAATCCAACTTACAAGGGATGTGAAGGACCTCTTCAAGGAGAACTACAAACCACTGCTCAAGGAAATAAAAGAGGATACAAACAAATGGAAGAACATTCCATGTTCATGGGTAGGAAGAATCAATATCATGAAAATGGCCATACTGCCCAAGGTAATTTACAGATTCAATGCCATCCCCATCAAGCTACCAATGCCTTTCTTCACAGAATTGGAAAAAACTACTTTAAAGTTCATATGGAACCAAAAAAAACCCCGCATCGCCAAGTCAATCCTAAGCCAAAAGAACAAAGCTGGAGGCATCACACTACCTGACTTCAAACTATACTACAAGGCTACAGTAACCAAAACAGCATGGTACTGGTGCCAAAACAGAGATATAGATCAATGGAACAGAACAGAGCCCTCAGAAATAACGCCACATATCTACAACTATCTGATCTTTGACATACCTGAGAAAAACAAGCAATGGGGAAAGGATTCCCTGTTTAATAAATGGTGCTGGGAAAACTGGCTAGCCATATGTAGAAAGTTGATACTGGATCCCTTCCTTACACCTTATACAAAAATCAATTCAAGATGGATTAAAGACTTAAACGTTAGACCTAAAACCATAAAAACCCTAGAAGAAAACCTAGGCTTTACCATTCAGGACATAGGCATGGGCAAGGACTTCATGTCTAAAACACCAAAAGCAATGGCAACAAAAGCCAAAATTGACAAATGGGATCTAATTAAACTAAAGAGCTTCTGCACAGCAAAAGAAACTACCATCAGAGTGAACAGGCAACCTACAAAATGGGAGAAAATTTTCGCAACCTACTCATCTGACAAAGGGCTAATATCCAGAATCTACAATGAACTCAAACAAATTTACAAGAAAAAAACAAACAACCCCATCAAAAAGTGGGTGAAGGACATGAACAGACACTTCTCAAAAGAAGACATTTATGCAGCCAAAAAACACATGAAAAAATGCTCATCATCACTGGCCATCAGAGAAATGCAAATCAAAACCACAGTGAGATACCATCTCACACCAGTTTGAATGGCGATCATTCAAAAGTCAGGAATCAACAGGTGCTGGAGAGGATGTGGAGAAATAGGAACACTTTTACACTGTTGGTGGGACTGTAAACTAGTTCAACCATTGTGGAAGTCAGTGTGGCAATTCCTCAGGGATCTAGAACTGGAAGTACCATTTGACCCAGCCATCCCATTACTGGGTATATACCCGAAGGACTATAAATCATGCTGCTATAAAGACACATGCACACGTATGTTTATTGTGGCATTATTCACAATAGCAAAGACTTGGAACCAACCCAAATGTCCAACAATGATAGACTGGATTAAGAAAATGTGGCACATATACACCATGGAATACTGTGCAGCCATAAAAAATGATGAGTTCATGTCCTTTGTAGGGACATGGATGAAAATGGAAGTCATCATTCTCAGTAAACTATCGCAAGAACAAAAAACCAAACACCGCATATTCTCACTCACAGGTGGGAATTGAACAATGAAATCACATGGACACAGGAAGGGGAATATCACACTCTGGGGTCTGTTGTGGGGTGGGGGGCGGGGGGAGGGATAGCATTGGGAGATATACCTAATGCTAGATGACGAGTTGGTGGGTGCAGCGCACCAGCATGGCACATGTATACATATGTAACTAACCTGCACAATGTGCACATGTACCCTAAAACTTTAATAAAAAATATATATATATGCTTTGAAAAAATAAAAAATAAAAAATAAATAGTCGAAGAATCAAATTGACTGCCTCACAACGAAGGGAGTCGTCCTCATCAGATATGTGTCCAGTGGAGGCTGAAGAGCCATCCATCAGCCTCTCTGATCTCTCCCAGAGATATTTTCATATTTGGAGGATACTGTTGCCTTACAATTCTGTAGTTTAGTTGTGTCATGCAATAGCTTATTGACAAGAGGTTTTAGTGTTTTTATTCATTTTCTATTCCCCTGACTTATTTTACCTCCTGTAGAGCAGCACTAAATCTATTTGTATAGCACTTACTGGAGATTCACTGCAATATCTCTTTGGAACACTATCCTCTGAAGTGTTTTGAAGTTGTGCCAGTTGAGTCTGTAGTCATCACTGTCACTTCCTTTTAGTGCTTTCATTCTCTCTTTGCTCTTGGAACAGTCCCAGCAAAGACAAAGGCAACTTCTTTTACAAACAGCATCAATATCATGCCCTTTTGATCCAACACAACAAAACAGGAGGTAGCTATTACTCTGGAGCTACTGTTTCCAATATTAGTGTGCTTGTCAGCAGCATTTCCCTTTCAGTGACTCTGGAAAACCCTAGTTGTACCATTAACTTTACTAGGCCAATGGTTATGTTCTTTGAACAACAATCCTCATTTTCTGCTGTGTCCCTAAGAGAAGGGAGACATGAAAGAAAATATTGTTTTGCCCCAGGTGGAATCAAAGTTAAATTATAATCTCTGTGGCTCCTTTCCTCAGATAGAAAAGAATGATGATGAAATTAGGGTAAGGGTGAAAGTATTCATTAAACTAAGAATAAAATAGAAACCAAATGGATTGATTTCAGTTTCACTTCCTTTCTGTGACTCTACCCACTCCATGTAGAAGGACTAATAACTTAATGAAATGAAAAGACACTGCACCATCCTCATAGACGTGTGAAATAAAGATTATGTATATGTGCATATGTGGGTGGGAGTATGTTTCTGAAGCTTGATCAATCAGAAGAAACATGAAGAATACTTTTTATGTACAATTGTAACGATGATATGCAAATAGAGATGTCTTTCATTCTCCTTCTAGATTTCCTTTTGACCTTTCAGGAAACCTTAGACAAATTGGTTCTTGAGGTTCTACTCTAAGTGTCCATAATATTATTTTAGGTCTCCTGCCAAGTGTGCTAAGTGTTTCATGGCTTCTTAAATATCAGGAGTTGTACCAGGACAACAAAGAGCTACCAAAGAACATGAGAGTAAATATGGCAGAAGGTACTTCTCTTAATACATTTCAGGCTGAAATATACAGAGGACAATAACCTTGAGAGCAGTAACCACATCTACTCATATTTAAATAGTTCAGAGCCTAGACACAAATCATTTCTTCAATACTGTTTTCCAGAATGTGTGCTTATTTAATTCAAAAAGATTTTTATCTCCACCACAAAAAAGAACAGAGAATTTTAAATGCCTTTAGAGCAAAGTCACAGGTCCTACAGACTCTGGAGGGTTTTGCTTTTAAAATCTACAGTTCTGCCAAATGAGTCTATTGGTGATTCAGAGCAGGGATACGAATCATCAGATATGCCAGAAATAATATTTAAACCGTATGCAGTTATTTAAAGGATCTTCAAATTGTGCAGCTGTAAAATCTGGACTGTGCTCTTTAAGAACTGTGAGAGTCTGGGTATTAGAAAGCTATTTGGAGTTATCACTAAGGATAAGGTGCAAGCCTTCTTTCTACAAATCACTCACAAGCAAGCAATTGGTGCAGAACTTGTTGAAATTATCTTTTAGAAACAATTAAACAAAGAATCACATTAATAGAGGCTTCCTTTCAAATGAAAGACATCCTTTTCTCTGCTGCCACTATTGATCCTAGGAAACTAGAAAAGACTTAAACATTAACTTAAGCCTTATTTCAGGTTATATATGATGGTTTAATTTTTTAAAATGCTGAAGAGGTCAGGGGACATTCTATCATGATACATAATCACACCTTGATATAGCCCATTCCTTTCAGAGAATAAGCCCCTTCCTTCTGAAATGGTATATGTATTAGGCCAATCTTGCATTACTATAAAGAAACATCTGAGGCTGGGTAATTTATACAGAAAAGTTTAATTGGCTCACTCACTATCATGAAGACAGCACCAAAACATGAGGAATCCGCCCCCATAATCCAAGCATCTCCCACCAGACCCCACTTCCAGCACTGGGGATTACATTTCGACATGAGATTTGGGCAGGGATAAATAGCCAAACTGTATCAGTCTGCCAGAGATCCTCCTTATTCCTACTCATTCCTATGAGTAGGGCTGTCTGTGAAGGGCAGATAATACTATCAGTTTATTCCATCATTCATTTCCTTGTATGCCTTAAATATTTGTTGAAAGTCTGTCAGAAGTAAGGCACTGTTCTCAGCACTTATATTATAGTTGTGTCTAAAACAAAAAATGTTTTTGCCCTTAAAAAACTACCATTTGATCAGAAGTGATAAGCATCAATCCACATTTGAGTCAATTAAATCTTTAATTTTAGGCAGATGAGTTCCATAAAGATAAAATGAGAGCTAAAACCCAAAGTACTGACCTAGTTTGGCTTTTCTGATGAAATAATGTTATGCCTGAGATCTGAGGTATGATCAGAATTTGGAATTTATTTCTGCTCTTGGTCTGAGATAAAACAAAGGGTAACTTGTTCTGGTTGCCTTTTCTAAGATTTGAATTTTCAAATTAGGAAAAAAAATGTTCCATAATTCTTCCTAATACTTTCTTCTGTGGTTTTAACTGGGAATCCCCTTTTTTTATTTCTTTTTTCCATAATGGTGAGAAGATAGGAAGGCAGTGGAAGGAAGGTAGGGAGAGAATGATTTCAATCCCTTTTTTTTAAATCTATAAACTAATAACTACATCTTAATATAGCTAAACATAGAAAATATGATAGTTTGAGCAGGCAGGCCAGAATAGCTGTTCAAAAGCTGACAGGTTCCCCAGGGAGTTGGTATGTAATAGCATGACAGTAATTACAACTAGAACTAATCTAGGCTGTAGACATGTCTAGGCCTATCTGTGACCTGGGTATGCACCTCCAGAGCAGAAGAACATAAGAAGGAGTTCTGGGTTTCACATGACACAGTTTCTGGAGAGGACCAGAAATAACCAAGTGAGATGTAGGGGAAGGGCTTAACATCCTCGTACAGCAGGTAGAAACAACAACAATAAATTTTGGGATATTGGCATTAAAAGGCCTATGTGCACCCTTAGGCAGGGACAAGGGTTCAGGCTCTGGAATGAAACCGCTTAGGCTCATGTTTTTTTTACTTGCCTGGTGACCTAGGGCAAGTTCTTTCACTTCTGCAACCCTAAATGTACTCATTTATCAACTGGGGATAGTAATAGTGAGTCAAGGGGTTGATGCAGGGATTAGTGAAATTAAACATATTGAAAGTCTAAAGCACTACCTGGAATTTGAATTCTGTTTATTGTTACTAATATTTTTATTATTGGAAGTTTAGTCAGGATTTTTTTAGATCGCTTTAAAAAAAAGAAAAAAGAAAAAGAAAAAGAAGAAGAAAACCTCCAAGGCTTGTGTCCAGTCTCTCCCCCTGCCTTACTTTAACTCTGGCAAAACCACCAGAGTTTGGGTCTGAATTGCAAATATGATTATGTCACTTTGCTATTCAAAAATCATCAGGGTTCCCCCATCACTTTTTGTTTGTATGGTATAAGCGGTCCTCTTAAATGCCTATGTGAATTTTCCTACCTATCACTCTCTCACGCAATCTATATTCCAGCCATGTCAGAAAAATTTACAGTTTCCCAGAAAAACACTGTATTTCAAGCATCCATTTCATTACTCTTGCCTGCAAAGTTCTTTTTTACTCCATTCCCCCAAAGCCTTGGAGCCCAATTGACAAATTTCTACTTCTCTGTCAAAGGTTTGTTCAACCACCAAATCTTCTGTGTAGCCATCTCCAATATTTCTAAACCTAGTTAATTACTTCCTCCTTGACATTTTTAAACTACTAGCACCTACTTCAATAGTGTTTTAGCCTCTTCTGCATGTGTCCGCCACCTCCACTAGAGTGTGAGATTCTGGAATAGAGAGGACCTAGCATTAGCGCTTAATATATATTCTTTAAAACAAATGCTGTGGTTCTTTAGTGATCCTTTGATGTCATTTTATTTGAAATTGCTATGCAAGACCTACAACCACAGCTACCTTCAGGACTATGAAATTGTCTTGTTTGAACTAGTTCTAAGCTTAAAGACTGTCACTTTTCTTATTCAGTAATTGTAGACCTTTTCCCTAATTTTAAGGAGTTATGGATTCCAACAATTTACAAAGCCAGGGCAGGCAAAGGAAAACAGATGTCTCACTTTCAAGAATTAGATCCTAGTACAAATACAGAGTCTGTGCTTTATGAACTGCAAAGCATTACAAAAACCAGTATTATTTCTCTATCATCATCTCACAGCAGCAGATAAGAATCTTAGGCAAGCAAAGGGCTAGCACTAGCGAACTGGGGGACTAGCCCTGGGGTTGAAAAGCCAGAGGCAGACCCCCAGACGTCCATATGCTAGGTGTGGCCAACTCCAAGGATTCCCAAATGAAGTGAAACTCTCCACACTTCCAGTTTGGTGCAATCAAGTCCCCATTTCTTCCTTCAGCAAACATTTATTGGGCACCTCCTCTGTTCTGGGCCCTGTTACAAGGCACTGCAGATACTACAGTAAACAAAACAGACTTATCTCTCTACTATTATAAAGCTTACACTCATAATTTTATATAACAAGAAAGCATTATGACATTTTCCTGTAAGCCAGTTTATTTACTTACAGCCCAAAACAGGCCATTCTATTGAATAAATGATCTTTCTTACCTCTACAGCCATCTAGTTATAACACAATAGGATAATAAAAAGCCAGTTCTCAAGAAGTTGTCACTCTCTTGGGAAGTGAAGTATGCCAAAAAGGCTTGGAAGAAATCCCAGAACCACCAGCATTCTTCTGCACATTAATGAGGTTTTACTTCACCCTTTCCCTCATCTCTTAATGATTTTACTTATATGCAATCTTGAAATAAGACATTCATCACAATGCTAGTCATCTGCTCCAGTTAAAAAGGGGTTATTATTTTTAAAAAGTTAAAATTTTAACTGGCCATTAATAATGGTATAATTCTTTTAAAGGACATTTGTTTGTAAATATTTTCTATCCTTCATAGTGAACATGTTACAAGTAATAGTTTGAGATTATATTTGCTTTTTAAAAAAAATTACAGCTGCTTTAAATTTCCTAATATATAAATGATACTTTAACATTGAAGTTGGTTTTTTTAAGGTACAATTAATTTTGAACTTATATTTTTCTTAGTTGGTTATAAAAAAATTATCTATGCCATGAAAACAGGAACTTTATAAAAAAAACTTTACAATGGAGATTAACAGTGAATTGATGGGGAAATGAATTACAGTTGTATGGAAACATAAAAATACTCAATACTATTTACTGTTACAAGAATAAAGTGCACAATATTATTGCGATCTAAGAACCCAGTGCTGAAATTTATTTTGAGTACAACTCATTATCTTTTCCATAGAGTTTAATGTAGGAATATATAAGAACTCAAGGCCGGGCGCAGTGGCTCCCACCTGTAATCCCAGCACTTTGGGAAGCCAAGGCGGGTGGATCACAAGGTCAGGAGATCGAGACCATCCTGGCTAACATGGTGAAACCCCATCTCTACTAAAAATACAAAAAATTAGCCGGGCGTGGTGACGGGCGCCTGTAATCCCAGCTACTCGGGAGGCTGAGGCAGGAGAATGGCATGAACCCAGGAGGCGGAGCTTGCAGTGAGCCGAGATCGCGCCACTGCACTCCAGCCTGGGCGACAGAGAGAGACTCCGTCTCAAAAAACAAACAAACAAACAAACAAACAAAAAAACTCTAGTGTTACTGCAACAGTTTGATGTTTTATAATGGCAACAGTCACATAATGTCATCACAAAAATGGTAACACCCTTAGATCAAATAATTTTTCACATTCAGGAAAACCAATAGAGCAATTTATCAGGCATGTGAAAGAAACACTTACCTTTGTCCTTATATGAGAACTATTTGGTTTTACCCTAATTTAATTACTATGCTTCCTAAGGGTAGTAGAGAAGTTCTGAAAAAGTAAAAGGAAATTAAAAGGGCAATAGAGCAATTGGGTGGCATAGTCCCCTAAAGAACCTTTATCCTTGGAAGACAAACAAAGCCAGTTAAATATTTCGGTAGATCCGTTTAGACTTCAAAATAAAGAAAAGGCAAAAATCCAAATGGAATGGATTACCAAAAATCGTAGCATTTTTAAAACACATTACTTTTAATGTTATTTTAAGCCAAACAAATTCAATAGATTTAAGCTGAAGGGATGTTATCATATGATTTGCTTCCCTCAGTTATGTAAGTGTTTTTTCATCAATATTCTGTCTGCAACAATTATCTAAAACAATTATGAGTAGTTTTTAAATTACTAGTTGCATTTCTACAACAAATCATAACTTTTTGAACATCTAATTATCTATTTTCAATAAGTTTCTGTAGACTCAAAACTTTTGTTTCAGATAAACTTAAGATTTAACCATCTAAGAACAGGAATCCTGATTAATCTGTATTTTCAAGGGAATATATTAATACATCATATTAGTACTTTATTGCTTTTAAAGCTGTAAAATCATAAAGATTTTACAAATAAAAATGAAGACATACAGGTTTATGTAAGTTTGTATATACATATATCCTACTTTAAAACATTATAACATGTTGATTTCAAAATAACAATTCTAAAACTGCCTAACTCAATGATTTTTTTTAACCTTGAGATTTGCTTGTAAATCTCAGATAAATCTCAGGGTAAATTTCAGATACTATTTGAAAGTCAAAAATAATAATAGAGATTCTTAAATAGACTAATGTTAATAAGTATATTACAAGTATACCTTTAGAAATAAAGATATAAATAACACTAAGAGAAAACGTGAAACTAGAAAAATTTATATTTTGGGGTTTTGTGCATTTAATCTGTCAAAACTATCATGTGTAGCAACAGTTCATGTTTCTTCTACATTTTTATTTATTCCTTATGTTTATTACTGACTGCTTGTACTATTATGATCAGATTTGTATCAAGTTTACCAGAAATATGAAAAGGTATGTTATTATGCATATAATTAATCCTTGAGTTTATTTAATGTTGCTTTTAATTTACATCTCATAAATTTTCTCATCTCATAAAGTTCCAAGTTATGTTAATATTTTATGTACAATTTAGCTTTATTGTGACAGGAAATGTTGATAAATTACCAGTTATGAGAAAAAAAAAATCTATGAGGAAAAGTATAAAACTAAAATACCAGATCAGAAAAGAGTGATATTTAAAGGTTATAGTTTCCAAATTTAGCAAATAAAAATATAGGATCCCCAGTTAAATCTGAAGTTCAGATAAAAATGAATAAATTTTAGCATACATGTATCCCATGCAACATTTGGGATGTACTTACAACAAAAAAATTAGCTATTGCTTATCCAAAAGTTAAATATAACTCAGTGTCTTGTATTTTATCTGGCAAGCCTAATAAAAGTGAATTTTTACTTATTAATATATCATTTATCACAGTTTCATCTGTTACTTATCAAAGGATTTCTATGCAACAAAGTCAGTTTTACACATTTAATAGCTATGACTTCTGCTAGTCTCAGGGAATACCGTCTCTTCCAAATTTACTCAACATGGTGTTTTTCCTTTATTTAGGGATGAACCTAAATAAAGAAGGGACCAGTTGTCAGCTTCTACACTTCCAGCACTGAAGCAAGGAGCAAAGGTAGGATTTATTAGCTAACATGTATTAAGGGCTTCCATATGAGCCAAGCAGTATGCTGAGTTCTGTACATTCATTATCTTCTTTAACCCTCACAACAGCCTTCTGAGGTGAGTGCTATTATTATCACCATTTTACAGATGAGGAAACTGAGGTAGGAAATGTCAAATTACTTGATCAAGGTTTGAATGGGAGTCAGTGGGAAGGCTGACCTGAAACTCAAAGCTTTCTGACTTTGTCAGTCTGCTTTTCCTCCCAGTTAGGACAGAAGCAGTTGTATTTGCCCCATCCTTCTTGAGAGAACCCTTTACCCCGCCTGCACCACTCTCATTCTCTTAAAAATATGAAATATTAAATATAAGGATTGCCACATCCCATGCAACCCCAGTCAGGTGCCTCACAACTCTACAACCTGAGGCCATATGAAGGCAACCCAGGTATTTCTGGGCACAGAGAGAAGTGAACCAAAGGACTGCCCATTTGGTTTACTGTCCATAAAATTACTGAGTAAAATGTTAAACATTTTCTTCTCTTCAAAATAATGATCAACTCGATCTTTCAGAAAAAATTTTCAAAGCTTTGAAAAGGTTTTTTTTGAACTCTTCACTTATTTTTATTTATAATGGCATATAATAACTGTACATATTTATTGGGTATAATGTTTCAATACATGTATCTATAGTATAATGGTCAAATTGGAGTAATTATAGCTATCACTTTAACTACTTAGCATTTCTTTGTGGTGGCAACATTCAAAATCTTCTCTTCTAGCTGTCTTGAAATATACAATACATTGGCATTTGCTGTAGTCACTCTACTGTGAAACAGAACACCAAAACTGAAAAGTTATATTTTAAAATAATCCTTTTCTACACTTCAAGTCTACATTCTTTAAAAATAATAACAGATCTGAATTCTACTCATTCAACCATTAATTAAGAATAACTATAACTTTATAACTTTTTAAAATAAGATTTGTACAGAAGTTTTGTTTCCTTGTTTGTTTGCTTGGAAAGGTTTTTGGTTGATACTTACGTAAGTGACAGGCTCTGCTTACATGCATGACCAACATTATCTTAGTCTAATCCCACAACAACCTCATCTGGTAGGTATATTTTCCAGATAAGGAAACTAAGGAACAGAGATGTTACATAACTTGCCCAGTCACACAGCTAGTAAGCTGAGAAACCAAGATTCAGGCCAGGCAGTTTGTTTCCAGTTTTCCCTTTTTTTTTTTTTTTTTGAAACAGAGTCTTGCTCTGTCGCCCAGCCTGGAGTGCAATGGTGCGATAGGGGCTCACTGCAACCTCTGCCTCCCGGGTTTAAGTGATTCTCCTGCCTCAGCCTCCAGAGTAGCTGGGATTACAGGCACCCACCACCATGCCCAGCTAATTTTTGTATTTTTAGTGGAGACGGGGGTTCACCATGTTGATCAGGCTGCTCTTGAACTCCTGACCTCAAGCAGTCCACCCACCTCAGACTCCCAAAGTGCTGGGATTACAGGCATGAGCCACTGCGCCCAGCCCAGTTTTCCATTCTTAATCAGTAGGCTCTTGTTTGAGAATATTTTATTCTTAATGATGGTATTACTCATTTTTGTACTTTATACAATGGAGTACTTCGTGTTTGGAATGGCTTCCTTGTCCATATCTTTGTAAGGTTGAGGCCAATTTTTCTGAAGGTCTAAAGATCAGGCCCAAAAGAGAGACCACATAATCACTTTGCGTTCCTTCCTCAGTAATCTCCACAACTCATTTTGTGTCAGAAATTCACCACTGCACAATAACAGGCCAACAGTGGCCAGAGTTGGCTCCCATGCTGTAAGGTTGGAGGAAGGACACACCAGGCTTCCTAAGTACTTCACACAAGGCTGCCAAAGGATTAGCTGGATGTTCCTGTGCCAGGTTCACTTAACAGGAACATGGCAAGTTGTGGAGACTAATTGGTTCTCACAGGTATTTGGGGTAATGTAAAAATACAACTGCAGGAAAGGCAATTTCCCCCTAGAATGTGACTTGCTCCTGTAAATACAATATATTTTACAGGTTTTAATGCATGTGAAATATTTATCATTGGCATGAAAATTTAAAATATATACCATTTTCCCTTTCATGCCAAAGGGCTTCTATACCCATCACAATTAAAATTAAATATGGAGTAATAGCATAGCTTTTTACTCTGATTCCCTTTTCCCCATTTTGTAAATTCACAGCTTTAACCCATGGCCACCTGCCTGAACGATGGCTTATTTCCAACTCAAGATCTCTTTCTACATACTTTATGAACATATGTATGTATGTGTGCATGTGCATGTATGTGTATATACATATATATGTATTATGTACTCATATATCAAGGAGATTTCATTTCTATTTTTAATCTATGGTATAACTTCTGCATTGATCATATAGTCATGAACCACACGAAAAAGTTCCAGTCAACGACAGACCACAAATGTGACAGTTGTCCCATAAGAAGAAAATGGAGCTGAAAAATTCCTATCACCTAATGGCGTCGTAGCCATCATAATGTAATAGCAAATGCATTACTCATGCGTTTTTGGTGATGTTGGTGTAAATAAACCTACAGTGCTGCCAGTCATATAATATTACAGCACATACAATTATCCACAATACATAACACTTGATAATGACGAATATGTTACTGGCTTATATATTTACTATAGTAAACTTTTATTGCTATTTTAGGGTATACTGCCTCAACTTATAAAAAAAAAGTTAACTATAAAACAGCCTCAGGCAGGTCCTTCAGGAGGTATCCAGAAGAAGGCATTGTTATAGCAGATTACAGCTCCATTTGTGTTACTATTTCCAGTTTTCCACTCTTAATAGAGCTTCTACTGGGACAAGAGGTGGAGATGGAAGGCAGTGATACTGATGATCCTGACCCTGTGTAGGCCTAGGCTATGTGTATGTTTCTGTCTTAGTTTTTAACAAGAAAGTTGAAAAAGTAAAATATATATATATATATATGATCTTTGAAATAGAAAAAAGCTTATAGAATAAGAATATAAAGAAAGAAAACATTTTTGTACAGCGATACAATGTGTTTATATTTTAAACTAAATGTTATTACAGAAAGAGTCAAAAAGTAAAAAAATACAAGTTTATAAAGTAAAAAAGCCATGGTAAGCTAAAGTTAATTTATTATTTAAGAAAGAAGATTTTTTTTTAATTTAGTGTAGCCTAGTTCACTGTGTTTATAAAATCCACAGTAGTGGACAGTAATGTCCTAGGCCTTCACCTTCACTCACCACTCACTCACTGATTCACCCAGAGCAACTTCCAGTCCTACAAGCTCCATGCATGGTAAGTGCCCTATACAGGTTTACCATTTTTTGTCTTTTATACCATATTTTACCTTTTATATGTTTAGAAATGTTTAGATACACAAATGCTTGCCATTGTGTAACAGTTGCCTAAAGCATTTAGTACAGTAACGTGCTGACTGAATACTTATTCAGAATTCTGCTATTTCTGTTGGAGTGCTGCATCATAGTCCTCAGAGGCACACAGATCTCACTACCTAGGGTCTACAGGCATCAAGTCATAGGTCTGAGAGAGAGATTGAAGGATTAAAAAGAAGAGGGGCAAAGAGAAATTAGAGTCTAAAAGGGGAAAAGGGATCACATTTGCCAGCCCCACTCTATCTCCAAATGTCTTTTCTGATCAATCTCATAATCAATTGATAATAAAAGTAGCCAAAAGATTATACTAACTATATATCTAACCCTTAAATAAAAATCACTCTCTGCCAGGAACTATTCTAAGCTCTTTATAATAATAACACATTCCATCCTTATAACAACTTTATGACAAATTATAAATTGCCCCATTTTATATACCTTAAACTTTCCTTCTCACATCTCATTATTCTAAGCTAATCTAAAGAAATGTCTTATTTTCTTTAATTTCAAAGCAGATATTTCAGCAATACTCTTTTCCTCGCCACACCTTTTTGGGCCACTAAGAAGAAAACTAACTTGTGCCCCCTTTGAGTCCTTTCATTGAAGGAAACTTTGGGAGGCAAATAGAGCCATAACATCTGCCTATGGGCTTTCGACTGAAGTACTGGGTACTAAATCTCATCTCCCACATGGGAAGTCAGTTCCTGACTTGGGGTCAGGAAAGAATGAGAGGGAATCCCCTCAGCGGCTCCATAAATTATCTACCTATATGCACACACAGCATTCAAGGAGTCAAGAGTGCCACACATTCAGAATATGAAAATAACAGCAACAACAACATTTGATCTGAATTTATTTTTTAAACAAGAAAGAAAAGTATTTGATCTGAATATTAAAAAGGAATTAAAGGCCGGGTGCTGTGGCTCACACCTGTAATCCCAACACTTTGGGAGGCTGAGGTGGGTGAATCGCTTGAGCCCAGGAGTTGGAGATCGGGCTGGACAACAAAGTGAGACCCACTTTCTACAAAAAAATACAAAAATTAGCCAGGCATGGTGGCACACGTGTATGGTCCCAGCTACTTGGGAGGCTGAAGTGGGAGGATCAGTTGAGCCTGGGAGGTCAAGGCTGCAGTGACCCAAGATTGCGCCAGCCTCGACAGCAGAGCAAGACCCTGTCCCCCCACAAAAAATTAATAGTATTAAATAGTTGTAAATTATGATAGTGCCAAACTGAGCATTAGTCTATTGGCTTTAATGTTTGACAAAGCAATTTAATACTGACCAATATCAGAGCCATATGAATAATAATAAATTATATACATCATAAATTATATGTATTTCATAATTAGTTTTTCTCATAGTGTAGTAAAAAGCAAGTACTGAAACTCATTACAGTATTTAGCCTGCTAATACCTTGTTGCCAGAAGTAATAATTGTAACTGTCAATATGGCCGTTAAATTTACCTTCACATGACCATTAACACTTTGTCTCAGTTTTCAAGCTTTCTTTGTTAACTACTAGTTAGACTTTGAGACCTTTCAACACAATTAATTGTTATGATTTGCAAGTGATGATAGAACAGGTCACTGATTCCCTGTTACCCAAAGCAGCCTTACTGCAGAATAAAGGTGCATTTTGCAAACTACCTGTTTTCACAGTGCATAAGGGAGAGGCTAGTAAAACTCTACTATATTGTATTATATTAATATAATTAATGCTAGATACAAGGTTTTCTTTTCCTTTGATACATGATTAAGAAGTTTTTATTTAGGTCGGGTACGTTACTCTGAATTAAATTCTCCCCCCTACACCCACCTTTTTCTAAGATTTCATTTCAAGGGCTTGCATTTTGAATGGCACTAAATTCAAAAAGCACTTGAGTGCAGGTGGCACTGAATTAAATATTATGTTAATAGAAACCTATTAGCATAATTCCTAACCTACAATAATTTCCTAGGGTGAACAATAGTCATGGAAACCCATAAACCAAAATGTATATGATCAAATAAAATATTAAGAGAATAATTGATAACCATGTGCTAGGCTTTCCTCAAAGCATATTACATATAATAATTTATTTAATGCTCACAACAACATGATGGGTTTCATACTATTATTTTCCTCATGCTGCAGATGAAGAAATTAATGCAAATAGATAGTAAGTAGCAGGCAGAAGATTCAAATCCCAGGGTCCATGCTTTTAACTCCTACACTCTACTACTGCCTCTTGCCCATAAAGGGATGCAATGCCACCGATATATGTCTAGGAGTATGAGGCTGCTGAAAAATACTAGACAAGCCAAGAATGAGTTCCATATTCAGATTGTATGTTTAAATCTAGGAAAACTCTTCAAAAGACAGGGTCTAGGATATTATTATATAATATAAATGCTTAGGTATTCCAATAATAAAAACTTTTTATGAAAAGGGAACTCTTCTAAAGGAAAGCCAAGACAAGGTAAGGAGAACAAAAAGGTTAAATTGTTACATGTTAGCATCAGATGGAAATGAGGCACAAAGGTGTAGGTCTTTGAAGTACAGGGTAAGGATCTTGGGTTTGCTCCAAAAATAATAAGAAATTATATGATAAGTAGGTCATGGCATAGTAACATGGAGCAGCAGAATAGTTAACACCAGCAGTCAGATTAAATAGGGTGCTAGCAAATAGAACAGAATCCTGACAAATTAATGATACTAATTGTTTACTAGATTTCCCATCTTCCTTTTACTGAGATGACTGACACAAGAACTGGGGCCATACATTGGGTTAGAAGAAGAGTTAGAAAAGACAGAACTTATCTGTCAAGATGTTAAACGTGCAAACACTAATTTACACAATTTCTTCTTTGTGAGTACCAACAAGTTTTGAATTTTGAAAAATACAAATGGCCAATGACTACTAATGATCTATAATAGTGATTTTTCAAATTATAACTTGCACTGGAATCAGCTGGACAGCTTGTTAAAAGATTGCTAGCCCCCACTCCCAAAGTTTCTGGTTTAGTTAATCTGGGGTGGGGCCTAGGAATTTACATCACTAAGAGCTCCCAGGTGATGCTTATGAGTCTGGTCCAGGGACCAGGCTTGGAGAACCACTGATCAGATAAAAAGGAGTTGAACATTTTAAAAACATCCTAAATGGTCCACTTAAGAAACTACATTGGCACACTATGTTTATAAATCAGAATATAAAACAAGTGAAATGATATTGCCAAGAAAAATAACCTGAATCCAACTCAACTTTCAATTTTTCAAAGTGCATAGGACACAAGAACATGTTTAAAAACACAACAAGGATATAATCAGCAAAGTTCAGACTGTAGGTAACCCTGTAGGAAAAATATGTCGTTTCTTGAACAAAGAAACTACAGGGGGAAAAAAGAGAAAGAGAAAGAAGGGAAAGTCTATTGATTAAAAGAGTCTTATGGACATATTAACCAGTTGTGATGCCTGGAGAGTTTTTGATGCCAATGCAAAAAACAAACTGCTAAAAAAAATTATGATTTTTATGAGACAATTGGAAATGTAAACAATGCCTATATTTAATGCTACTAAGGTAATATTACTGCTAACATTTTCTAATATCTTAGGTATGATATTGATATTGTGGCTATGTTTTTTAAATCTTCAGGGATAGTTGTTAAAGTATTTACAAATAAAATGAAACGTCTGAAATTGCTTCAGAATAATGTTAGTAAGAGAGAGAGTAATAAACGATACAAAATTAGCTATGAGTTGAAACTCCCTTGGAGATCAGTGATGGGTATATGATGATTCGTTATACTATTCTGTCTACATGTTTATGATTGAATTTTTCATAACAAAAAATGTAAAGAGGCTGGGTGCAGTGGCTCATGTCTGTAATCCCAGCACTTTGGGAGGACAAGGCAAGCGGATCACTTGGGGACAGTAGTTCAAGACCAGCCTGGCCAACACAGTGAAACCCCATCTCAAAATTAGCTGGGTGTGGTGGCACTGGCCTGTAATCCCAGCTATTTCGGAGGCTGAGGCACAAGAAACTAGAACCCAGGAAGAGGAGGTTGCAGTGAGCCAAGATCACACCACTGTACTACAGACTGGGTGACAGAGAGAGACTCTGTCAAAAAAAAAAAAAAAAAGTGTATCGTGTATAGAGATGATTTTTCTGGAAAGCTGCTTTGAATTTTTAGATTTTTTTCCATATTCACTTTATGGCACCAAATTTTCCAGAGTTCAGCGTGCTTCTCAGCTTCACCAAACAAAGGGATGATAGCTAGAGAGACAATATAGCATATAACAGGTTCCTAATAAAACATGTTAAGAGAAAATAAATACCAACTGATATGTTCTGGCTGTGTCCTCACCCAAATCTCATCTTGAATTGTAGCTCCCATCATTCCTATGTGTTGTGGGAGGGATCTGGTGGGAGGTAATTGAATCATGGGGGTGTTTTCCCCCATACTGTTCTGGTGGTAGTGAATAAGTCTCATGAGAGCTGATGGTTTTATAAGGGGTTTCCCCTTTTGCTTGGCTCTCATTTTCTCTCTTGCCTGCTGCCATGTAAGACATGCCTTTTGGCCATGATTGTGAGGCCTCCCCAGCCACGTGGAACTGTGAGTACATTAAACTTTTTCTTTATAAATTATCCAGTCTCTGGTATGTCTTTATCAGCAGCGTGTAAACGGACTAATACACCAACCAAACAGAAAATACTCAGGGAGGAATGCAACTAAAAATGAAGAAGATTCAAATATAAAATAGAAAACTTTTTACATGAAAGGGGTCATAGAACATGCTTCTTTGGAATGTACAGCTAATTTAGGAAAGCAGGAGGTTGGTCTGTGTCCCTTGATCGTCTTTATCTGCCAGAATGTTATCAGAGTCGAGTTGTTCCGTGGTATTCAGACATTCTATGGAATTAAAGTTCTTTGTCTACACGAGAACCATGCCAGAGAACACAAAGAGAATGACAAGTTATCAGATCCATCCACAAATAACAACATTCCAAAATACCATAGACAGAAAGCTCTTGGGAAATCTTTCATTTTTCCAAACCACATATGTAACAGACTGTCCTGCTAATTAAATGAGACAGATGCTGCATCTCGCCAGAGAAGGTGACACATGGCATGAACAGCTGCCAGGACTACCACAAAGTGCTAAGGGTAAACAAACTACTTCCTTCTTCCTAACTGTGCCTTGCCTACACATACATAACTTGGGGCTACTTTAGTTCAGAAAAAAAAATGTTTTGTTTTTAGTAACAGTGACTACCAGAATGTAGTTAACTTATTGTATATGCTAATTTAATGTAGGCAATGGGGAACCAATAATATTTGTAAACTATAACTAAATATAAATGGACTTTATTATACCCAGATCTCGCATGTTTTTGCTAGAATAAAATTAGATACTATTGTGTTTTATTATTTTATTACCACAGAGATTACAGCACTTTAAAAATGAAAGAGACATTCTCCTTTGCTATTTTCAACAAGCAGGAAACAGGCTGTAGGAAAAAAGTGAAATGTCTATAATTTTGCAGCTGCAAATTGTCTCTTTGTGTTACAGAAAAATATCTTTTCATTAGTGATTACTGTGATTCATGCCTTAATGTCATTTAAACATATAAAATAAGTTACAGATGCCCATTTGGTGCCAGCTACTGTGCCAGTCAATTATGAAGACATTAATATTACTATAAAACTATAATTGATATTTATTGAGTGCTCACTATATATAAGCACCAAATTAACTATGATTCTCATCAGAACCCTGCTGTGTATTATTATCATTTCTATTTTACTGATAAAGAACCTGAGGCACAGAGACGCTAAGTAATTCGTCTAAGGTCACACAGGTGGCAAATGAAAGAAGCCAGTGCAAAAAAAAATTAGGGATGGAATATAAAACTGAATATGTGATCTTGGCCCTTTATATAAAAGGAAAGATTTTAGTCTAGAATAGAGACCTATAAGCAATCCTTAATAATATTAATACTAAAAAATGAAGTAAAATTGAAATGTGAAAAAAAGATTTGGCAGTATTTCACGGTGAATAGGCAACTATTAGGTTGGTGCAAAAGTAATTGCGGTTTTTGCCATGACTTTTAATAGCAAAAACCACAATTAATTTTGCATAAACCTAATATTAAAATAAAGGTTTCCCTTTCATGTCAAACAACTCTCCCTGCAGGAAATATGTCTTTAACCCTTCCTATGTGTATTAATGGCTGTCACATGTAAGAAGGATGCCAAGAAGAGGAAGACACGTTCCCTGCCGCGTGTACAGAGGGTCTACCATGCACTGGGCTGACTCCCAAAGAAAGAGAAACTCTATCCATTGCTCACCAGAAGCTTATACTTTTTTTAAAAAAAAAGTGTGCACATGAAACAAACTTTTCTAAATTAATTTTTTAAAGAAAGCGTGTTTTATTGTTGTACTCTGTCCTCTTATCATAGACATTTTCATTGTGATCTGAGGTAACCACTTTTTTGGTTTACGTTAGCGTATTCTGGCTGCAAATAGCCCCTGACTTTATAGATAATAAAAAGTTTATGTTTTATTTACATTAGAGGATTCTGGCTGCAAATAGCCCCTATCTCTGTGTCCTCATTCTTAGGGGTAACATTTTCTCTTTTGAGGCTATAAAGAAAGAGCCCTACTTAAGTTACATTAACAAGATTTTGTGTAGTATAGTTAACATCTTTTAAATATTATACACAATATTAATTATAGGTATTTCCATTCTAAGATGTACTCTTAGGGCTCGGCATACTGTAATAACCCTAATCACCAAACATTAGGAGGATATTATGAGTGATCCAGAATATGGAATTAATGCTAAATTTTGCCCACTGAAGTTCCCCCCTTTGATCCGAATCTAGATTAAAAGCCACAAATTTGTCTCCCTCCCTCAGGCATACCAACCACTTACACTTTCCTAAAGATATGCACAGCCTTCTTAGAGAACACACAGCATCTCAACATGAATACCAATCAGATCACAGTCATGGTTATAACCTGAGACTCAAGAGTCTGTGTCTCCAAGGTCAGGGGTGTAACAAGACGGCTTCGAAAGCAGCTCCAATGTGCTTTCCACACTGGCAGATGTCCAAATCTAGGTTTGATTCTAAAATATTCAAACTGAGAAAAGTCCAGTTTTCCAGTCCACTAAAAATGAGACAAGTAGATTTAGGCAATTCTGAGATCAGCACAAATAACCTAAAAATATTTCACGAAAACCTATCATGAGCAGAGTGGTACCTGTCATAATATACCTGTGCAGGTCTCACAGATAAAAAAATATATATGGGGTGATATTGATGGGTGTAGCCCCATGTGCTTATTTCCCAGCATAGACCGCTTCAGTCATCCTAGTAAAATCAGTCTATAGACACACTGCAATTATGAAAGCTATATTTCTGGCAAATACCTTAAATGCATGCTGTTATTGTTTGATTGTATTGAAATAAAATGAAAGTGCTTGACAATTATAAGAGGCTACTATTAAAGAAACCATGAAATAAGTTAGTATATCCTTCTATACTTTGAAAGGCATAATTTATTTTGGTACTCATGTTTGTGCTCTGATTTTTTCGGTGCATATTGTAGGCATTATCTAGTATTCCATCAAAGGAACAATGGCTAGTGTTATATTATCTCCACCTTTTTAGGAGTTTTCCTCCTTTGGAAAGGCTGTCCTCCTTTTAAATATATCTCATTTTAGCATAGAGACTCAAATCTCATAAAAGTAAGAATGTCAGACTTGATAAATCTGCTCAAAGCCTTTTACTGAAGTGGGAATTCTCTGTTTCTGAGAAATTGAAAGATTTAATGAATATATTCTTGTCATATTATGACATCTCATTTTTCCCTCTCATAAATACTCGTCAGGTTTATGATTTCCCGCCCATTGGCCAGGAATGGCGTTGCACTTGCTGCAATGGTGGGTGCCCATACCAAGTTTAATTTCTCTCACAAGGAGAGTTGACAAAAGATCACAGCCACTAAGCCCTGGAATTACCCTAGATATTGCCCTCTGTGCTCTGCAAATGAAATCCTACAGAAGACCCTTTGGAAAAGAAGAACATGATGGTTAACACTCAGAAATCCATTTTGCACAGGGCAGCATTCGTATACACAGAAGTGCGGAATGACAGGCAGAGCTGCCAGTTCCTCGATGAGAAAAGTCAGATGCTTAGCACTACACACACACACGCACACACACACACAGACACACACAGACACACACAGTGCCTCGCAGATGCATGCACCCCTCCCCCTGCAGCTTAGAGTCCCCAGCTCTTCTCTCCCACGCATCCACCTCTCCCTCATTCCCCCTCTCTCATGCCCTTGATTGACTACCAGGTCAGATAAGAAATTAAGACCAGTGAAATCAGAACCAGACCGCACCTGTCCCTTCTGCAGCCAGAAGAGAACTGAAATAAAGCACTTATGAAATTGCTGTGATCATAACCTTCAAAACACTGAACTCCTCCCAGCTGTCGGCTTTCCCAACCCAAAGGTTCCACAATAGAGACGCTGGCACCAAGTCCCTAATATCTATTTGTAACAGAATGCTGTCATTTTGGGACGGGTCAAAGTGTTGCAAACTGTAAAGGTCCCTTTATAGCTACAAAGATTCTGAAAATAGATGTTGTTCTACTGATTTAGACTTGCTAATAGGAGGATCAGTTTGCTTCTATTTAAAATGATTCATTTGCTCGGAGAGAAAAATGATAGTAAGCAGTGATAAATACTTTGAAATGTGAACAACGATTACTATCTGTCTTCATTTGACAGAGATTGACATTTTTTTCTATTTCTTACAACCTAACTATTGACTTTTGTAAACAGCTACTGGATGACCTGCAATAAAGTTGAGCTCTTAGCTAGAACTGTCAGTTACTCATTACTAGCAGCAAACAAATAAAAAAGGGAACAATTTATTTGCACAATTACCCATCTTATATGTCTGAGTGCTATATTGCTAGCTATATTTAGCAAGGAAAACTTCAGTGAAAACTTTCAGTACTTCATTAAATAATAAAGATTTCATTTTTTAAACTAAGCTATGTATACATAGTCCAAACTATAATATAAAGTAACAAACTACTAATTCAGATAGAGAAAGATCTCTACTCTGGGAATATCAAATAAGAATTTTAAAGATATAAAAGGATGTCTAACCACATTATTTCACTAATGTGAACATTATTATCATTCTCAATAACATTTTATTTCCAAGCCATGATGGGCAACAATTAAAATAGAACACAACTGAGATGTGGCATATTAATTAGATGTGAGGATCCCTGCAAAAATACACATTTCTGTATTCATCATACTTGCCCTTATTTTAGCTTAGAAAAAGTTCTGCATTGTCACATTGCTATAACAATTGCATATGGAAATTAGGCATTTGTTAAAATCATACAAGAGACCAAAGGTAAAAACATTCAAAAGCTATTTTTGCCTGATGTTAAATCCTCTTACATTTTCATGTGATGTTGCAAATACACATATACACAAGAGTGGAGCCAAGAAATAGGAAAAGTTTGTAAATATTTATACACAGATAATATACACCATGTTCATATACATACTACTTCTAATCTCCTTTGTCTAATGATTTATTTTATACTCTCTCAATAGACACAATTTTTCAACTGTTCTATTTTTCTTTTGAAATAGCAGATTGTTTACGCTAGTGCTTCAAAGATATTTATGTAATTAGGGTTCTATTTCTACGTTGGCTTTTAAATCCAAGTTCCTCTTGTTTTGGAATGTCATGTGCCCACAAATAAGCATAGCCATGCCACACTGCGAGTCAAGCCTTCCACAGGGGCAGGGAGGGTGGTGGTTAGGCGCACAGACACTCGAACCACATTGTCTGGTTTTGAATTCTGGCTCCTTCGCCTCCCAGCTAAGTGACCTCACCTACCAGCATCTCTCTTCCTCAATTTACTCATCTTGAAATGAAGAAAATAATGGCACCTACTTCCTAGGCTTGTGAAGATAATATTTTTAAAGTGGTTAAAAATAATGCCTAGCACATAGTAAATGCTATCTAAATGTTAGTTTCAATTAAAATAAAATGAATATTCTTAACTATTACTGTGTAAGTTTTAGCACGTGAATTCTGACATATATCTAATAGGAAGGCTTTCTAGTATACAGCTATGTGTGTCATTTATTTCCTGTTTCTGCATAATTGCAAATTGATACAACAATAACAAGAATAATAATTTAAAACAATATCAACAACATATATTGTGTTGACTACAGCCAGGCACAGTTCTAAGCATTGTCTCATACAATCTTCCCTACTAATCAGTGAGATAGATACTGTCATTACTATTTTATAAATGAAAAAAACTGAAATTTAGGAGAAATTACATAACCTGCCCAAGTCCCAAAATTTGTAAGTAGCAAACTAGGACCTGAAACAAAGCCTGTGTGACTGTAAAACAAGTGGCCAGAACGGCTGGGCACTCCTGCCTCCTTCAATACATGTTTATTCAACACCTTAGTCTTCTTGGCCTGTCATTTCTTTGTACTGTAGTGACTCAGCTAGCTATCTGGAACCCTTCTTATATATAGTTATGGTTTACACTGGTTAAATAATTTTACTAAAAAATAAAATATTTGGTGCCAGGCCCCTGGGGATGATTTCTAGGCTTTTAGCCACACTTGAATTTGTCTCAAGCTGGGATAGAAGGAATGCAGGACTGAGGATCACAAAATCAGGATCCCAGCCCTGATTTCACCATTAAGTCCCTGTGTGATTAAACAAGAAACTGAATGAATCTGGCTTATGAAGGGTTACTGTGACACAGTTAGCTGTGTTGTAGCACTTGGCTAGTACTTATGACATAAATTTAAATGGAAGACGAGGTTTTTCTTTAAAAATACATATTTCCTTGAGCCTAAAACTATAAAACTAAAATTATCTGGTTTCTCCATATATTAAGATCATTTTAAAACTCAATTTTTTAACACAAGCCTAAACTTGATACTCTTTACAACACAATGAAATTCATAGCACTTAGCTTCTCATAATTTAAAAGGATACCAGTTAACATCCAAAACATATTATTACAAGAATATCTTTTCCTGGTTTGTTTTTTCAAGGAAGAAGAAGAAAAGTTTGACATTTTAAATTTAACATTACAAGAAGTTTAGTGGCATTCAACCAGGTTAAATTAACCAAAGGTATGTCTGTATGTGTTTGTGTGTGTGTGTTGTGTGTGTATATATATACACATTGCTTTCTCTCCTTTCCAAGCAGTTTTGCTCTCAATGTGCTCCAGTACTTCTCTGATACTAAGAAAAGGGAACCAAATGACATTGGAGAAAGCAAGCCTAGGGTAGTAAATAGTGACTGACTCCTGTGTTCTGCTTCTGAAGAGCCACAGAACCATCAGCTGGACATCTCATAGAAGTCCAAATGGGAGTCACAAGAGATAAGGCAGCAGAGGGGGATGTGGACAGAAAAGAAAGTCCAGAGCTCCTCAGCTTTATTAGCATGAGTGGAGTGGAGCAAATGTCTAGGGCCTGGAAAGAATGAGACAACAAGACCTTATGCCACCGTGGTGTGTGTCCAGGGATGTTCGTGTGAGTGCTCACCTCTCTATAGATGGCCAATGTTCATCATGCCATCAGTCTCAAAACATCCTTAGTGACAATAAAATCATTTTTATATTAAAGAAGCAGATGACAAAGATAATTCACTGAGTTTTGCAAGAATAAAGACAGGCTCAAGAAGGATAAAGTCAGCCAATGAAACTGTGAAGTCCAACCGAATTCTCTGAACTTATCTATTAACAACAGCCACACAGCGCCTGCCAACTTCAGTGGGTGGCAGAAAAAACAGGCTGGAAGATCATATTTGGCTTTATATATTAAATCTTTCACATCCAAGGGACAAGGATTTTTAAATTGTCATATAGTACATAGGATATACATAGTACTAATACATTAAATACCCTCAGGTATAATTTTTAAAGTGCCATTTATGCTTACCTAAATAGTTACCACCCAGAAGATGAGCTTTTCAAGTCCCCAAAAGACCCTGCAAATATACTCAAAAATGTAAAGTTTTACAAAATTTGAAATATTCTTTTAATGCCATAAATGTTCTTATTTGTCTCGACAAAATCTTGAATTAGAAACCATAGTTTAAACTCAGACTATGAGTTGGGGATTGGCATCTCTCTGGTGGTGTTAGGTCTCCAACACTTGTAAGAAATAGTTGGGTGACAATCAAATGTAAATTGTCATTCGGCAACAATTCCACACATTTGTAAATTGCTTTGAAATTGTGAAACTCATTCAAAAAACACAATGGTAATTCTGAGAAGCAGAGATCTCTATGATTCCTAAATCTCTCTATAAAACAGTGACTCTCTAAAATTATAACTGAATTTTAATACAAAATATAATACAGAGTTTATAAACCACTTTATAGCTGCTCTCAAAAATTATGTTAACTGGAATCTATATTAATCACATTTTTTCCATTGGTGATTTTTATTGTAATAATACAATTTAGGTAAAATATAAACTGCAACGTTTAGTGCAAGAAACTTTCACTTTATTTTTTCATGAAATTCCAGAAACTCTGAGGTGAAAAAATACATATACTATCTATTGCCTCACATTAAATGTATGCTGCAATTACTGCTACACCATAAACCGCATACCAATGATTTCATTTCTACTTACAAAAACACATAAATTTGTGTCCTTTATATTAGAAAGGTACACTCACTTTTCCTTGCTAAAATTCCTATTGTCTGTAGAATTTATAACCAAATAAATCTGTATTTAAACATGTAATAGCTGGTCTCCTAACAAAATATTCTTTATAACAATCAATATCGGAGCCCTGAAATTGATTATATGAAAAAATGACCACTTCTTTCCTTGCAGCCTAAAATATCTCACATCCCCTGTGAGCTGCCTCACAGGTAAGTCAATAGGAGCTTCACATGAGACCTGAGAGAAGAATTTTACCCTGTAAGTGTAATCCATTTATTGGTTTATGGACCAAAAAACCTCTCGGGAGTGTTACAAACTCATATGCTTTCCTTGAGTGATGGGTTTTGCACTTGGATTTCTTATCTAATTGAAAGATGTGTAAAAACTTATGTATAAATAGAGTTCCCCATTGGTTACACATTTCAAGAGTATCTCAAGAGTATAAATTATTCCATCAAGGGGTTAGAATAAATTATACTCAATAATTAGAATCAATTTTCCCTAGAGTAAGCACAAAAAAATTCCCATTAACATGGATAGAGGTTGCATATAAAACATGAGATGAAAATATAATATCACCTACAAATTAGCTTTGTATTCCTGAATAGACAGAGAAGTAACAGAGTGAGATAAGCCTACTCATCTTGAACTATATCCTTTCTGGGTAAAGTCCCCACTGCATTTTGGATATGGCCAATGTCAGTGGATCAACAGCAGAAAAGAAAATGCGCAAGCCTAAGTGCGGAATCACTGTGTTTTTTTAGCTGTCTCCTATTAAATGACAGTAGCATTGCCTGGTTCACACACATCTTATAGTCATTCTGTGTAGAATGAAGAGTCATTATATTAAAAGTACATGCTACTTCTTCAAAGAAAGAAAGGTTAAGCGAGCCAACCTTGGCATCACTAGCAGCAGTGATCATGTACCGGGAACTTAACCCAGGCGCTGTGTTAAGCATTTTACTTGTACCATCCTGTTTACAAGGGAATTTAGCAAATGGCTAAGCACACACACTTTGGACCCAGATTTCATGGAGTTCAAATGTCAGTCATATTTCCTTCTAGCTGAATAATCATGTGCAACTTGCTTAACCTCTGTGACTCAATTTCCCCAACTGTAAAATTGTGATAATAAAACTACCTACTTCATAGGATTGTTGTGAACATTAACTGTGTTAGTTTATATACAGCACTTAGGAGAGTGCCTAGCATAGAACAAGTGTTTTTCATTAACATTGCAATTATTGTTATTAATTAAGAGGGAAATAACAAGGTTGTATATAACCCATGTGATCTGGAAGCACTGAAAATTGAACGTTACTGCTTTTTTCACTTGCTCATATCATAAAGGGATTCTTTCAGCTGCCAGTTTTGAATAATGTATCACCCAGAGTGATGTTATCTGTGACAGTCACCAGCTTTAAGCTGAGCCATTTTATGAATGTGAAATAAATAGTACTTTCTGTGCTTTAAAAAAAAAAAAAAAGTGCATTTGTGGCAAGAGTCCCACAAAGAGTCTATCCTGTACGATGACCACCAGAGCAAGCACAGCTCAAGTCGGAAGGCAAAATGAGCAACTACATGAAAAGGTCTTTATAGGCCTCCCAAAAAGAATGTCGATTGGAGCTGATGACTAGTTACCTCAACTGGGATTCTTGACCAAATAATGGGGGAAAGTTAAAAAAAAAAAAAAGTCATCCTTTAGCCTCTGTTGCAGAATGCATCACTCTTTGCCAATACCTGGTTTCTCTCCCTGCTGGAGGATTCTACCTCCTCATTATGCTGAAGTCATGTTTGTTCATCTGACTTCCTTAGACGAATGAAGTGTGAGAAGTAATATAGCATCACTTCTGGGCAGGAGCTTTAAAAGCCTACATGTGTTGCACCAAGTTATTTTTTCCCTCTTCCATAGTTCTGGGCAATGTTCTCGGCTGGTGTTTTAGAAGGAGAAAAAATGAGGCTGAAAAAGAGAGCCCTTAGGTGACTGCTGATGGGCATATAACACAAGCCAAGAGATGCATTCTTTTTATTGTAAGCTTCTGACATTTTGAGGTTGTTTGTTACTTCAACACAACCTAGCCAATCGTGACTGATGCAACCTCCAAGACAATGTCCCAAGTGAGGAAAGGGACTCACCCTGAAGTGATGACAGCCAGTCTGCTTTAGTGAGAAGTATCTGCTGCAGGGGTGTGACCTGGTCAACGCGCCAGATTTGGGAGTGGCCAAGCCAATATCATGCCTGAAACAAAGAATATTTTCTAAAGGTGGCCACAAACCTCAACAAGTAGAAAACAATTAGGACCCCATATTTACATGGAGAATCATAGAAGACAGAGATCCTGGGACAGAAAGATTGTCTATTCAGAGGAAACGGTATATCTCCCCTTGTCTCTTCCGATTGGAAACAGAAATGTGAGGAGCAAGTACTCCACAGATTCCTCCAGTGGAGGCTCAGCCCACTTTCATTCCTACTTCTAATGTAATTCAAGCCTTTTTCTCTGCACTATCCTGATCCCTGAGCCTTAAGAAGCTGAGTTGCATATAGAACAAACATCTAAAAAGACATCAAGAAAATAATTAGGCAACAAATATAAACTGAGCACCTGCTGGTCACAAGGCACTATGGGAGGTGGTACAGATATAAAAAGAACTGCCAAGATCCATCCGCGCCTTCAAAGAATACCAGTAATTATTGAGGGTTTTCTATGTACTAAGCGTTTTGTTAGGGACCTTACATGATTTATGGCCTGAATCCTCAAAATGACAGAAGAGGGTTCTACTGGGGCCGGGCGCGGTGGCTCACGCCTGTAATCCCAGCACTTTGGGAGGCTGAGGCGGGTGGATCACGAGGTCAGAAGATGGAGACCATCCTGGCTAACATGGTGAAACCCCGTCCCTACTAAAAATACAAAAAAATTAGCCAGGCGTGGCGGCGGGCGCCTGTAGTCCCAGCTACTGGAGAGGCTGAGGCAGGAGAATGGCGTGAACCCAGGAGAAGGAGCTTGCAGTGAGCTGAGATCGCGCCACTGTACTCCAGCCTGGGCGACAGAGAGACTCTGTCTCAACAAAAAAAAAAAAAAAAAAGAGGGTTCTACTATAGTCACCATCCCATTTTAGAGATGAGAAAGTTAGGCTTGCAGGGGTGGGTGGAATTACTTTCCCAAGGTCCTACAACAAAAAGATACATGATTCATTTGCTCTTTGAAATTTTGACTCCGAAAGGTGAAGTCATAATCACCTTCTCATGCTCTTACAAAGAACCTTTATTTTTGTTAGGGGACAAAAGTATAGAAAAAGATAAAATTCAACTACAATGACAACCATAAGAGAGAAGATGATTAATTGCCAAATGATTGGCAGAAAAAAATGAAGAGTTGGATTCACACAAAGAAGATAATCAGTCATTTTTGTTGCTGAAGGGGCTTCATATGGGAAAAGGACTCTGAACAAGTCATTAGGGAGTGGTAAAAATTAGGTGGCAAAGAGGGTACTGTCTGAAGACCATTTCAGAAAAAGAAATAAAAAATAAAAACCCCTAGTAACCAGGTACCACTGAGGAAAAGACCACCAAAAAATCACTACTAATAAAAGGCAGATCAAGTCTTTCATCTCAGCTTCAAATACGATTCCACTGATAGCATACTTCAAATATTTCTTGATTCTAAAGCTGAGAAAAAGAGAGCAAAAACTTCAAAAGGACCATTCTGACATTTATTTCCTTGATCTAAACACAGCTATACCATTATCAAGATTTCATTCTTAAAGAGACTAATCTCTGGCATAGGCACCACTAGTTGGGTAGTCAAAGTGCTCTTATATTTATCTTCCTGTTTAAAAGGCAGCTATGCCTTTTAGAAAGCCACTTTTTTGGAAATATTTCCAATTTTGCTCACTTGCCACACCGATGAGGAAACCAAGGTCCAGAGAAGCAAAGAAATCTCCTGAGGTCACACAGCTAGAGCAGCCTCTCTTAGGAATCTTCAAATTCCTAAAGAGAGTGGTGGCTGGTGCTGCAGTGACAATGGATTTGTGGATGCCTCAGAGAAGCAGGACAGCTAATGGCACTGAGAGAAACAGACTGTAATATAGAGACTGAAAGGGTCTGGAAAATAAATTTAAAAATACAAAATGTTTTTGACACCACGTATACTACGCACTGAACTTCAGGAATTTCCAGGAATTTTCAAACTTGCATCTTACACATTGTATGAGATTAAACCGCCTGCATAGCTTAGAGCATTTCACTCCACGTCAGAAGAGAATACTAGATTCTCCCTAAATCAGATAAAAAGGTAGTAGCCTTCATAAGATTTCCATCAATCTTATAAATTAACATTAATCTTTTGTTCACCACAGACACATCTCTCTTAATGCCACATGAAATACAAATTCATATTATTCCTCTTAGTTAATTCAAAAAACAAATTTTTTAAAGATATTCAGGTGTGGCTGGGTGCAGTGGCTCACATCTGTAATCCCAGCACTTTGGGAGGCCGAGGCCTGTGGATCACCAGGTCAGGATATTGAGACCATCCCGGCCAACATGGTGAAACCCATCTCTACTAAAATACAAAAAATTAGCCCGGCATGGTGGTGCGCACCTGTAGTCCCAGCTACTCAGGAGGCAGAGGCAGGGGAATTGCTTGAATCCAGGAGGCAGAGGTTGTAGTGAGCCAAGATCGTGCTACTGCACTCCAGCCTGGTGACAGAAAAAAAAAAAAAAAAAAAAAAAGATATTCAAGTGCAAATAAAACTTCCTTAGAAAGTACATTATTGTGGACCAGTTAACAGTGTATTTTGGCTTTTGTTTTAGAACCACCATGCACCAAAATAAATATACATCTAGAAACATGTTGAGTTGATGTGCTGGGCTGTGCCTGAAGAACTCTTGGAAAACTCTGAAATTATGAGTGCAGCAAGCAACTTCCAGGGCTTACTCTGTTACAGAATTCTGCTTAGCAGAATAATTTCTGGTTAGAATAATGCTGAAAGCAAAATTTATTCCCAAAGCAAAGGCAAAACTGTGGAGTCAGAAAGCCTTTCCAAAGATATTGTAAAATTCCGCTTTTAAAAAAATTAATGTTTTTATTGCTCTATCTCTCAGCACACACAAGAGTGGCAGGAAGGGAAGAAATTTACCTCTGCTTAACAGATGATTATATTTAATTTTTAAAAAACTGTTCAAATAGAGTGATCCATTGAGTTTAGAGGATTTAGATGTGGTAATAGGATTGCTATACTAGCTTTCAGTTTTGACTTCTTAAAAAAAAGAAAAATGTTCTACTTACTACCCAGAATCTAAGTTCTCTTTTGCTGAGTTCTCTAACCACAATAGTCTCAAGCAAACAAAAGATAAGAAGATGAGGGCCGGGCGCGGTGGCTCACGCCTGTAATCCCAGCACTTTGGGAGGCCGAGGCGGGCGGATCATGAGGTCAGGAGATCGAGACCATCCTGGCTAACACAGTGAAACCCCGTCTCTACTAAAAAATACAAAAAAATTAGCCGGGCGTGGTGGCGGGCGCCTGTAGTCCTAGCTACGCGGGAGGCTGAGGCAGGAGAATGGCATGAACCCGGGAGGCGGAGCTTGCAGTGAGCCGAGATCGCGCCACTGCACTCCAGCCTGGGCAACAGAGCGAGACTCCGTCTCAAAAAAAAAAAAAAAAAAAAAAAAAGATGAGGAGGAAAGATGTAAAGAAAATTATTTTTGTTCCATATTTCATGAATCTTATCTCTAATTTGGGGTCCCACCAACAGAAGCTGAATGAAATGAAATAAATAAAAGTAGAACTGGCTCATCATTTAGAAGAAAGTCTCTGAATCATAGAAAACATTCCCAATTTATGATCCATGAAGCCTTGCTAGACTATTCTAATTACTATGAACCATTTAAATATAATAATTATTGAAGTATTATAGTATAAAATCTCTCCATTAAAAGCGTGCTAGGATTATCTAATAGTCTAACAACCATAGGAAACTCCATATTTCTGCTTTGGTTGTTAATAGTGTGGTGCTTCCTCAGAACTATAACACGATTCAAAACATTTCAAAACCTTTTTTATTGCATTGTTAACCATAAAATCCATTTTTAAAATTGAAGTTAAAAAAGATATAAATCCTATGTTTTTCTTTGAATATTGCAAATTTTATTGCATCAGTCAAAAAATGTGACTCGGGTAGTAAAATGTTACTGTTGCTCAGTGTAATGGTATGTGTTTGAAATACAACCCATTTGCTCTTCATTCATTTTGCCTTAGTAGTTGGCAACATTACAAGATTTTTTCTATAAAATATTCTTTGTTGTGCTGTTATCATATCCATATAATTTCTTTATTTTATCTTTCTTGATAAAATATTTTCCACCCATGTCTGCTTTTTATCACTTTACAACTTACTGCCACATGCCCTTTTCTCTTGGCAAGGTTTATGAAGTATCTTGGCTAAGAAAATGCTTGAACTGGCTTATCAGTGAGCAATTGTCGCCTAAGACTTGAATGACCACAACACATTATCTGAGGGTTGATACTGGACCATCCTCCCTTTTTCTCTAGCATCATGTAATAGGATTGCCTTCAGAAAATGAGCCAGATATTTTTCATAATTTACAATACAACAACTGAATGCATACTTCATTTTTTTTCTTTGTCGTCCATGTGTAGATTTTCCATAAATCACAAACATGTAGGGCGTTCCTTGGTACTTTTTGTGCCAGTGCCTTGGTGGGTGGGGAGGACACTGTGGCAGCTGAGCAAGTTGAGCGTTTAAATACCCTACTCATCCCTGGTTTTGGCTTCTTTGCATTCATCTAGCTGTTTATGGACACCCAAAAGCTCCAAAAGCTGTTTTCCTTGGCTGTGAATTGGACTTTATAAAGTGTGTCTTAGTAAGAGTATTGTATTCCTGTCCTTTAAAACCTAGCCAGGTACTTTTCAGCTTTGGCAGCTTTTCTGTTGCCTGCACTGGCAGGGCTTTATTCCTTTACAATTACTAACAACACACAGCTCTTACCACTCTGCTTGACAAAGTCATCTTTGCACTTTGTAACATGACTTTAAAAAACAATCATGATCCTCCCAAACAATAGGTTATGCTTGTTTAGCATTAAAATGCAGCTAATTATGTCTTCTGTTGATAAGGAAAATATTGAGACATACGTCAGTTCATTTATTTAGAAAAACAAAAAGGTCTTCATTAGACCTTCACAAAAATGAATTACCCTAACATGGTTATGGTAGGCACTACCCTAGGAAGTTTGTAGAACACACAAGAGAAATTGTATGATCTCTATCATTAAAGAGCATTGTTAGAAAACTCCAAACATGTGTCTCTAAAATAACTGGAGAATATTTATAAAGCAGTTAGTGAGAATAAGCAACACACTATCAACTAAATATGTAACTGTGAAAAAAGAAATTCTTTTCAGTTTAGAGAAAAAGGTGTATGTCTTTTAAACTGAAAGAATATTTCAGGGGAAAAAATTGGTAAACATCTCATCACAAGGAAAGAAACTACATGTATCAAAAAATACAAATAAGCATTATGTTTGTTTCAAAATGGATTTCCCAGACCAGGGTAGTCCTCTAATATTAATATTCAGGACAATATATGGTTGTTCATAGAAATTAAAAAGAATCTTAAAAGAAAGGACCTGAAATTTAAAGAGCCTTTAAAAAGGAAATCTAAGGTAGACCAGAAAATAAGTTTACAAACTTCACCCTGGAACTCTTCTTCATACTAATGAGCCAATGTAAAAGGGGAGGTATATTGGTTCTCACATAGTATTCACCATTGTAGACTTCCTAGTTAGCATTAACCACCAGGATTTTTCTTGGTTTTACCACTTTGGTAGTTCACATGTCACTCTAAGACAGATAGTTAATTTTGCAGGGGGAACATTCCACTTAAGAACTTCATTAAAAATATTTTTTACCAGTGTGGTATCTGTGGAGGGCTTGTGACCATGGTGAATAATGGTTTCTGGCCTGCTTTGAGTAAAAATACTGTAAGTCAAATATAAGTTATTACTTCTAAGGTACTGTTGAAAGTTTCCTATTAGACATAAAATGTATCTAGGTATATACAGTATTAGATAAGAACATCCTTTGTTATATGACTTTGTATTGTCTTCTGAAAGTGACCACAGAATTTGGAAAAGGAAATTTTACCTGTATTTATTTTCATCAACATTGGCAATTACTAACCTATTGGTCTTAGTTTACAATAAAACAAAACATTCAGCACATATTTGGAACCAACCACTGAATGAAACACCTTACATTCTGTCAGAAAGCAAAGGCTGAGGCAAAAGTTTATGGACTGCTATTGTATTAAGGAGTACAATCCCAAAGAGCAACAGTGAGGGACAAAGGCAATTAAGAAGCAACGAGGGAAAGCCCTGTAGGAGGATGCAGAGGATGCATTACCGGCTGGTCACCTCAAAGTGTAACTAATTGCCTAATCTCACTGCATCATCCTTCCAAAAGCTTTGTAACTGCATCTCAGCACAGTCTGTACAGGAAGAGAAAAGAGAAGATTGTATCCTCCACCCCATCTTCCAATTGCCGGAGTTCACCATAGATCTCATTACTGCCCCCACGTTTCTGGGCCATTCATGTGTGAGCCCTGAGCAGTATCCCACAGCGTCCCCTCCCCAGCATCAAAAAGAAATGCCTAGGGCAAACAGCGAAATGCATTTGGCACAGGCCCTAGGGTGAAGGGCTGTGAAGTTGTGCTTTTGTAAAGTTGATTCCCTTCCAGCTGCTGCACCTGCACAGAACTGATCACAGCTGGAACAGGAAGAAGGTGAGCTGGGGGATCTGAAGTGGTTTGTCGAGGTGTCTGATCACATCCATCACTTCATTTAATCCTCCCAGTAATAATATATATAGGTGCACTTACATCTCCATTTTACACATGAGGAAACAGAGGTTCAGGGAATCTAAGAGGCTTGCTTAAAAGCACTTAGCCATTAACAACCTGTCGTTTAGAAATTTTAAATCCATTCCATTGTCATCAACTGGTCAGTTTAGCCAAGACAATATATTGTGTTTCCCATAAAAATAAGCATAAAATTATAAACATATGATCCCATGTAGTAAAAGGAGAAATTCTTAACTTGACCTTCCTAAATACCACACCTAACAGTAACAATGACGCTGAGCAGATGTCAGCCTTCTGGTCCCCACCCCCACCCTACCTCTAGTAATTTAGGATAGACATAAATTCTCAGGAGTGTGTCTCTCCAAGAGTGAGGAAACACAAAGAACCTCACAGCAGATGATACTCTGTGTTCTGTGTCCTAAACCCCACAGAAGTGACTATGTGAAATCAAGCAGTACAGCCTCAAGACAGAAGCACCTGAGGCCATATGCCCAATGCTAACATCATAATTGGAATTAGTACATTTCTTCATTTCCACTTGTTGCTGTAAATTAAGTTGTGAGTTATTGGAAAGCAGGAGCCATGTCTCTTTCATCCTCATAGCCCCATTTCCCAATCAAGTACCAGGCACCTTGTTGATGCTCATTCATTTATTCTTTCATTCAATAAATATTAAGGCTCTCCTATGTTATCAGGCACTATTCTTTGAGCTGAAATGTAGCATTAAGCAGAGCTGACAAATTTCTTGCCTTTCTGGAGTTTACATTCAAATAATCTTCAAGTTTCTAAATTATGTTCAAACTACTAAAAATATAATTTTATGGAGTGATAAGTGCTAATAAGAAAATGAAGTAAATATTTGGTGGGCTAAACTGGACTTAAAGAGTTAAGGGAGAAGGAGGAATAGAATTATCTGGACGAAATACCAAGGGAAAAAACCTTAAAACACTGACTAGTGTAAATGTTTTAAGACATAAACAAAAAAGGAAACAAATTGTTCAACTTCTCTGAGCTATAGTTTTCTTATCTGTAAAATGAGGATAAAATCAACTTTATAAGATCACTGAAGATTAAAGAGACACTATATGTGGAATGATTTTCTAAAATGCAAAAACACTCAACAAATATTAGCTGTTGAATGGCGCTAGTATTTGGTATCCATCCTTCATTCTTAGAACACTAATTCGTCGTTTTTTAGATTTGTAAAAACTGCCACAGTATACACATATGTGCACACACACATCTTTTTCAGATAAATATTTCCTCATTTCACAAAATAATTTTTCTCTTATCATCGGTCAATTTGACAAATTTAAAAAAAAGAGAGAATAAATGAATATTTCTGAAAAGGAATATAATCAGCAAACAAAGCTTTGTTGATTAGGAAAGTTATTTCATCATATTTTTGCATCATTTGAAAGATGAAACTCAATGTTACACAAGCAATAAGGCTTTTTGAGACCTTTTTGAGAGCTTGATGAAATTTTTCAATTGTCTTGAAAGGGCAGTTATATTGTTTTATTCATGTGGCTCAATAAAACAGACATGGACATAAATCTATAAATTACAAATATTTCTACATTTAATTATTTCTTAAAGGTTTGTACATTGTCTAAGAGAGAAGAGGATATACTAAAAGCAAAAAGTTTGGTTTTGTGGACATTTCACAGTAACTGTCTAGAGAGGAAAAGAAAAGTTGAATTAAAATCTGTGATTGCAAAACAATGTTTTGCTTTATGTGGTCCCTTTAGTAGACAAACTGCTGCATTAATATTCAAAACACAGCAACCTCTCTTGAAAATATGACTCCTACTTTACAGCTGAAGTTTTCTAAGGGAGGTGTAATACAGTCAAGTTGTAATTTAACAGTGTGAAAATTTGCTGGTAATGGACCCTCTTAATCTAGGGTCCTTAATCCTACTTAAAGTGTTTTTACCATGCGAAGTGATTAAGTACAGAATACTCATTACATTCACAACATAGTTATTATTTGAATCCAAGTATCTAAAACTGAAATTTATATATTGAAGGATGGCACCAAGTTCACAACTTGAAAATGCCATACATATTTGCAGGGCACACAGTAATTCAACAAAATGTTGCCCTATCCTTTATTTTTCAGGCCTATCTCAAACGTGAAAAGGAAATTTGACCTGCATTTAGTGACCAAATCTGTTAACAGTTTTGTCATAATACCTGCATCCTAGTTTGCCCCAAATGGAATACTTCACCAGTACCAGATGTCACAGTCTTAGTTTTGTTAGTGTGAAAAGTCATGCGTGGCAGTTGTTAACAGAGGCTGTTTAAAGAACTGTATTTGTGTAGCATATTAAAACTCTCTATTGTACTCCACAAAATATTTGAAGAGGAGCTAATATATATTAAAACAATCAAAATATTCAACCTATGTGAAAAGGTCTCCATTTTCCTATATAGTCAATAGGGGATGATTTATGCTTCCCAAGAGTATTTGCTAGGAAAAACTACAATTAGATGCCACTATTAGATTCTCCTTTTACTCATTTCTTTGTACGATTTACTCGTTTGATTTCATGAGAGCTTAAGCACCTAATTTGACAATCATATTTAAATAATTTCCATATACATTTGTCAGAGTTTTCTGTGGATAATAGCAAAGAGTTAACAATAAGCTGACCACTACCACCCACCTCTACCAGACACCACTCTAAGAACTTGAAAACAAGTTTCCATTCTGGGAACACAGTGCATACTAAATATAAAATGGATCATTGAGAAGATGGCTAAAAGACTTAATTGTAACCAGTTGATGTGTTATATATAAGTGGAAAAAAATGGTCAGTTATATAGGAGTTAGGTCAGTCCCTGAAGCCTAAGATCAAAAGATGTACAGATGGAGATGTTTGTCTATTGTAGGATTATAACATTAACCCTTGGTGCTTTCTATTTGTCAACTAACATGACCATCCTGAGAAAAGATTGTGAGTGGATATTCAGTGATAACCAGTTCATTTGACCTTCATTCACTGTGAAATAACATACCAGTATGCTGCTTTTATGTATTTAGTCTTTAGAAAGCTTTGTTAGCATGAATCAGAATGGCTGAACTTGTCATGGTCTAGACCAATGAAGTTTCTCAGCCAGCTAAGAGGGTGATAACCCAAGACCACACCTCTTGTGTTGGCTGCTGGGAAAGTCTGTTGTTCTTTCTTGGTGAAAATCCCTTAATTTTTCATTCAGACTTCTACAATGCCTTAATCTTAAGAAGAAGCAAAAGCCTCAAGAAATGTCTTTTATTTCCTATTTACTAATCTCAATTTATTTTCAGGAAAATTGACTGTTTCACAAACTGAGTTTCCCAGCAGGGAAGGTTGTTGAAATAACAACTAGGGTCTTGTCACTCGACCTAAAACCCCCCAGCACGGCACTGTGACTATGCATCAAGGAAAAAAAATGGCATTCTGGATTTCTCTAAAATCAATCCCTGTCTCTGTACAAAGTTCTGCTTTTCCTATATTGTATGCTGCTATAAAGACAATAATAGCAACAACATTGATAAGAATAGACTATTATGTAAAATATTCCTGTTACCTTGAAACTTCCTCCTTCAGAATTGTCTATTAAGTTTCAAAAATATTAACTATACATACTTGCACATGAGAATAATGTTTACTCTTATCTCTTTTTTTTCAGACTGAAGGAACTTTCTCTCTTTAGGTGCTCTATCAGCAGCCTCCTCTAAATGATTCCTAGATCTTTGATAAGCTTCCTCTGTTCTTACAGGTCCGGCAATGACAACAGCAAGCAGCACTGCACAAGCAGACAAATCTTATTTTGAGCAATGTGTTGTTTTTACCATGAAAAATGTGAGAATGAGAAAACCTGTGGGCACAGGGATGATTTTCTTAAATATTTATAAGGTCTTCAATAGATAAGATAGATTAGATTTGCTTTGTAGATTACCAGAAAATAACACTATCTAAAAATAGCTGTTAGAGGGAAGATTTGTTTCAGACAAAAATCAGAAAATTCCTTGTAATAAAGTTTTCTGAGAGTCCAGTGGATTTTGCTCCAAGACAGAGAGCTGGAGATCTCTGAGCAGAGTTAGAGGGCTTCTTTGTACAAATATTGGGATCATGAGGCTATACTGTCACATGACAATATTCCAACATTCCATAATTCTTTTTGATGACATGTACACACACACACACACACACACACACACACACACATATATATTTTAGATGGAGTCTTGCTCTGTCGCCCAGGCTGGAGTGCAGTGGTGGGATCTTGGCTCACTGCAAGCTTCGCCTCCCAGGTTCATGCCATTCTCCTGCCTCAGCCTCCCGAGTAGCTGGGACTACAGGTGCCCGCCACCACGCCCAGCTAATTTTTTTGTATTTTTAGTAGAGATGGGGTTTCACCCTGTTAGCCAGGATGGTCTCAATCTCCTGACCTAGTGATCTGCCTGCCTCGGCCTCCCAAAGTGCTGGGATTACAGGCATGAGCCACCACGCCCAGTCATCTTTAAATATTTTTATTATAACTGCTACACCTTTTTGAAAAAAGCTGGTCTAAAAAATGATTTTTCTTAAACTATTAAATAATAGAGCTAACTTCAATTACACAAAACAATTATTCTTCTGATTGAGTCTATATTGATTAGCATTGTGGATAAGGACCAGGTTTTTAAAAAAATGCAATCTGTCAATTATTGTTGAATGTTTATGCTATTGCTTTATATTAGCTAATGTTAATATCTGAGGATAAAAGAATTAGGAACAAAACACTGTCCTTGGTAAGGAAGAGAGAAAACCATGCCAAAGTTGGCAGGTGCAAAAATAAAGGTCTGCATAAAGTTTGAAGAGACCAAAAGAGTAAATAATGTCTTCTTATTGACTTAATGTGGTAAAATAAGACTGATTAACATGAAAATTAAGCCAATTATTGTTACTGCTTTCTTTTTTATTGAGATCCTGCCTCCTCTTTCTTCTTCTCAACACCTATATTATAGGTCCTGACTTCATTAATCTTATCTTGCCTTATATAATAATAGATTGTGAAAATGATTTTTACATGTTTGTAAACTTTTTTCTTCCCCCTTTAAGTATTTACTCATTAGACTCACTTTTTTATTTTGAATTCAGATAAATTTCCAATTTTATTATATAATAAAGGTATTCAAGCTCTCTACTCCCAAGAATTGAGGTATTATTTTTAAATGTACTATTGTCATGCACACAATAACAACGATCCTCCGACAAGATGACACAAGCTTAAAGTTGGAATTATTTTGAGTATCAAAAGGTTATACGTTTTCCTGCACATTTCTGTTGACTTATCTATGTTTATTGGGTATTTCATTTCCTCCTCTTTACCTTTGACAAGTCAGAGATAAAAGTATGATTCTCAACAATGGGGCAGAAGGCAACTGGCCGTCAACCACATAATCAGTATGTTCTAATCAACAAAGCTGACCAAATTCAAGAGTGGATCAGAATAGACTTTATGATAATGAGTATTTCCAATTTTTAGACCAAATAACAAAATTATCTGAGAATATTGAGTTAATGTCATGTTTATCAAGCACATCTGATCAGAAGACCCATCTGATGACATTCAATTGGTAGACCTCTCTCCTAAAGAGTCAAATTAAGTAGATCATTGGTGGAATCCAAGAATTCTTTCTTTTCACAAAAACCTAAAATTATTCTAACAATCAGGAACATTTAAGACAGATTTAACATATCATCATAAGTCATTGTCATCTTCTACATATTTAATTAACTTGCAAGCTTTATGATATAATTCACTAACGACTTAATCCAATCCATGCCTCTTCCTAACAGTGAATACTCAGTGTACTAAAGGCTTTCCAAAATAAATGATGTGTACCTTTCTATATGTTCTCTTTTAAGAAAAATCGTTATTGGATAACATAAACAAGGAAGAGTTACTTACACAAGTTTATACAAATCTGAAGAAAGAAATGGAAACATTATACCAAAAAATGAAAAGAAATAACAAATACGCATTAACCACAAACTTTAAATCCAACGCTAATTAGACTCAAAGAGTTATACTCTCCTTTCCTGACCAACACTTATGGTCTGTTGTTTGTAGCTACAACAATTCAGGCTCTTGTAGTTGCTGAGCATATAAACATTCAAATTTCCTGTATGTTTACATGCATCTAGGATGCCTCATTCTCAAATCAGTATTCCTCAATTTTTTCCCAAATCAATACATTCCTAGATCTTCCACTCTTTTATATTTGGGAACCCTATTCCCTACTACACCAAACATACTAAGATGATGTCTCAATCATATTAAATATAATTTTCAAGATTTTAAAAATTTGCTTTTTGGTATTACTTGACCACAAAGAACTAATTTAAGTTACAGCTGGTCATGATTTCTCAGCAATTATCATGCATATTTGCTAATCCTTCCAAAGGAGAAAAGAATCTAACCTACAAATTGCTAATGTAAAAGCCTTTATAAATAATAAAATTAAAAATGAATGAATGGCAGATATTGTATTGAGTATTAATCTCTGATTTGTAATTTATTCTATTTAGAATCAAATGAAGGGTATTCTTTTTCTTTTTATTGCTCTATAGTAGTTGTGTATATTTTGGGGATATATGTGATATTTTGGTACATGTACATAATGTGTAAGGATTATGTCAGGGCAATTGGGATATCCATCACCTCAAACATTCATCTTTGTGTTGGGAACATTCCAATTTTTCTAGCTATTTTGAAATATACAACAAATTATTGTTAACTATAGTCTCTCTACTATACTATCAAATGAAGGTTTTTTTAAATATGAAACAATAAGCCTCTGAAAAACTGGAGGCCCTGTATGCTGTTCCAGTAGTGCCCAATGGCCCTGCCCCATTCACACTTTGAAATAAATCAACTCATCTTGATGTTTCTTCTTTCACTGTTCCATAACCCTTCCAGCAATTCTTCACCTTTGGAATAGACAAAATAATGCTTGTGGGGTAATCAGATTTGGTCATCTAAGAAGAACAAGTTTAAGAGAAGATGTTTAGGCTGTTATTTATGTCTAGAAATTTTAGCAAATTCTCATAGTTTCATTTGACAGTTTGTTACTTTTTTCTGAACTTTACAAAATTATTCTAGGTGGTTAGGCCTCCCTGCTGTTGCCATCTGTCATGATGTGTCAGTTGCATTGCAAAGAATCTACTGTTGGAAGGTGACAAAGTCCAATCAGTATGATTACAATGAGTCACCTAACTTAACTTGCTAACTTACCTCCACAAATGAAAGATACTTGTGAACCTGTTAGACTCTGTTTCTTTGCGCTTATATACACAATTAACTTATTAAAAGAAGTCATTGACTGTTTCTCAAACACGTATCTAAGGACAACAATTCATTGTCAATATGAGCTAATTTAACTACCACCTTGGGGACTAGGAATGAACTGAGTCTCAAATCCTGGTCTCAAATTTCACTTTTCCGTTTTTAGTTTGACAATGGAAATTAGATATAGAAATAACAGAATGCCAGAAATAGTCTTCTTTCTTAATATTTGTGTCTGAGTTGGCAGCTAAATGCTGACAATCTCACATGCAGTCCTGCTCTGCTAAGATTCGCAAACTTAACTGTGTTTAGGTAGTTCAGATAAGCTTTACGTAAGCATCTGAATTTCTGGGTGCTTATGGAAAATGAACCAAATTCCTCTCCTTTTAAGATGTACTTATGTCTGATGCTAACACATTCATGTAAAAATAATAGAAGGTCTTGCTTTACATACCTAAGCTTACCATTAATATTAAACAATGAATTTTAATGTTGTCAGCCACGTGGTATTTCACTCATTTCAATGAGCAGAGATCTTTTGTGTTTGTTTTCTTTGCAGCCAGTAAAATACATCATTTTCTTTTTTCTAAAACAATGGCTATCGTTCTGAGGAATAAAGCCATTCCTTGGTAAAGTGCAATCATGATTCCAAAAGACTGCATGATATAAAAACCATAAAATTGTACATAGTGCCAAGATATAGTAATATAACAGCTGAGGAGGATAATGATGACAGGCGTTGTTTCCCTGGTCTGGTTAAAATTCAGCTACTGCTTCTATTTATTTATATATTGGATTCCTGTTAACATTGATTATACGATGTTACTGTCCTTCACCAAAATAAATTTACAGGTTAAAAAGTTGAACACTACTAAGGACCTCTGTTCCCTATAATTGATTTGCTTGCAGTTAGGATAAACTATCACCTACTTGTGAAGCATATGTAGCTGATGGGTCTAAAGGTTTCAAAATATGATGCTTTCTGAGACCTTGGGAAAAGTTAAAAATATATGGCTTCTTTTCTAAAAATCAAAAAAAATGTAAGGTTTCCGACACAGTCAAGTCTAGCAACAGCATATAATAGTTTCAGACAGATTTTAGAACCAGATGATATTTAAACCTAAATACAGTTTTAGGTCTAACCTTTAAGTCTTTAATCCATCTTGAATTAATTTTTGTATAAAGTGTAAGGAAGGGATCCAGTTTCAGCTTTCTACATATGGTAGCCAGTTTTCCCAGCACCATTTATTAAATAGGGAATCCTTTCCCCATTTCTTGTTTTTGTCAGGTTTGTCAAAGATCAGATGGTTGTAGATGTGTGGTATTATTTCTGAGGGCTGTGTTTTGTTCCATTGGTCTATATCTCTGTTTTGGTACCAGTACCATGCTGTTTTGGTTACTATAGCCTTGTAGTGTAGTTTGAAGTCAGCTAGTGTGATGCCTCCAGTTCTGTTCTTTTGGCTTAGGATTGACTTGGCAATGTGGGCTCTTTTTTGGTTCCATATGAACTTTAAAGTAGTTTTTTCCAATTCTGTGAAGAAACTCATTGGTAGCTTGATGGGGATGGCATTGAATCTATAAATTACCTTGGGAAGTATGGCTATTTTCACTATATTGATTCTTCCTATTCATGAGCATGGAAAATTCTTCCATTTGTTTGTGTCCTCTTTTATTTTATTGAGCAGTGATTTGTAGTTCTCCTTGAAGAGATCCTTCACATCCCTTGTGAGTTGGATTCCTAGGTATTTTACTCTCTTTGAAGCAATTGTGAATGGGAGTTCACTCATGATTTGGCTCTCTGTTTGTCTGTTATTGGTGTATAAGAATGCTTGTTATTTTTGCACATTCATTTTGTATCCTGAGACTTTGCTGAAGTTGCTTATCAGCCTAAGGAGATTTTGGGCTGAGAGGATGGGGTTTTCTAGATATACAATCATGTCATCTGCAAACAGGGACAATTTGACTTCCTCTTTACCTAATTGAATACCCTTTATGTCTTTCTCCTGACTGATTGCCCTGGCCAGAACTTCCAACACTATGTTGAATAGGAGTGGTGAGAGAGGGCATCCCTGTCTTGTGCCAGTTTTCAAAGGGAATGCTTCCAGTTTTTGCCCATTCAGTATGATATTGGCTGTGGGTTTGTCTTATTAAATGTTAGACCTAAAATAAAAACCCTAGAAGAAAACCTAGGCAATACCATTGAGGACATAGGCATGGGCAAGGACTTCATGTCTAAAACACCAAAAGCAATGGCAACAAAAGCCAAAATTGACAAATGGGATCTAATTAAACTCAAGAGCTTCTGCACAGCAAAAGAAACTACCATCAGAGTGAACAGGCAACCTACAGAATGGGAGAAAATTTTTGCAATCTACCCATCTGACAAAGGGCTAATATCCAGAATCTACAAAGAACTCAAATTTACAAGAAAAAAACAAACAACCCCATCAAAAAGTGGGCCAAGGACAGGAGCAGACACTTCTCAAAAGAAGACATTTATGCAGCCAACAGACACATGAAACCATGCTCATCATCACTGGCTATCAGAGAAATGCAAATCAAAACCACAATGAGATATCATCTCATACCAGTTAGAATGGCGATCATTAAAAAGTCAGGAAACAACAGGTGCTGGAGAGGATGTGGAGAAATAGGAACACTTTTACACTGTTGGTGGGACTGTAAACTAGTTCAACCATTGTGGAAGACAGTGTGGCAATTCCTCAGGGATCTAGAACTAGAAATACCATTTGAGCCACAAATCCCATTACTGGGTATACACCCAAAGGATTATAAATCATGCTGCTGTAGAGACACATGCACATGTATGTTTATTGCAGCACTATTCACAATAGCAAAGACTTGGAACCAACCCAAATGTCCAACAATGATAGACTGGATTAAGAAAATGTGGCACATATATACCATGGAATACTATACAGCCATAAAAAATGATGAGTTCATGTCCTTTGTAGGGACATGGATGAAACTGGAAACCATCATTCTCAGCAAACTATCGCAAGGACAAAAAACCAAACACCGCATGTTCTCACTCATAGGTGGGAACTGAACAAAGAGAACACTTGGACACAGGAAGGGGAACATCACACACTGGGGCCTGTTGTGGGGTGGGGGGAGGGGGGAGGGATAGCATTAGGAGATATATCTAATGTAAATGACGAGTTAATGGGTGCAGCCCACCAACATGGTGCATGTATACATATGTAACAAACCTGCAAGTTGTGCACATGTACCCTAGAACTTAAAGTATAATAAAAAAATAAAATAAAATAAAATGCATTTGTTCTACCATGGCAAAAAAAAAAAAAAAAAAAAAAAAAAAAAAACCTAAATACAAGTTTAACCTTGAAAATAAATAAATAAAACCTATTGACTTATGTTTTAGCCTTTCACTGTCTTCTAGGCATGGCGTTGCATGCTTCTGCCACACTGCTTCATTCCATTCTCACAGCAGCTTTTTGAAAACGGTAGTATGCCGCCTCTCTTTTTATAGGCGAGGAAATTCAGGTACGAAGTGGTTAGGTAACCCACCCAAGATCACTTAAGTATTAAATAATTGGACTAGGATTTGAATCTGTTGTCTATAACTTAAAGACATTGTTCATTTACTCGTATGATTTCAATATAATATGATCCATAAACTTGTTTATTATGAACACACTTCCCGGCTTCTGCAGCTCCACCTGGTGTCAAAGTTCGCAAAGTTTTTCTTTCTATAGTCAAAGTGAACGTAGCTCCCTTAACCCCTTTACTTCTCAATGTCCTCATCTATAAAATGGGGCCGTGTGCACCCACTTCAGGGGGTTATGACAAGGAGTACATGAGATGACATATGGGGGGAGCCTTGCCGACTGTGTGATGTATATTCAAAACTCATTCTTCCCATCACCCCTATAACTCTATCTGCCCCGCACCAAACAAAGCAAAGTTCTAGTTGGCTTTTCTAATTTTCCTTTTTTTAGTGTCTTCTCAACAGTGAAATGAGGAAAGAGCAGTTGTATCCTACTACAAAGTGATGTCATAGAAATGTATGAAACTTAAGCTCCTTGTACTAAACTGAAGATTTCCAGATGCTTAATTAACTAATAACTATTCTTATTAATCGCTTAATTCTGTAAGAAAAAGTATCCCTAGCATATAAACAACCTATTTATAATAGTTATTTTTAAATATCTCAGTTTATCTCTAAAACTATGTATTCAAAAATAACTAGTTTTAAAACATTTTATCTGTGAACTATATAAGAGAAATAAAATGTTTAAAGCACAAAGTTGTAGCCACAGTTTTATGTTCACGCCTAAAATTTTCTTTACTAAAACTTATGTTTAAAAGATTTCTGTTTAATACATGAATTTAAATTTACTGCTTAATCAACTAGTCAAGCAAATGCTACAAGTTATGCTAGAACTCCAATTTAGAGAGAACAACAAAACTTTTATTTTCAACATCCTTAGGTAGGAATAAAACAACTACATCAATTAAGTCTTGCCTAGCACTTGATGATATGAAAAACAAACAAAAACAAGCACTTGCACATACATTTGATCACCACTAACTACCCTACAAATAGATATTATCTCTTTTATACATATTAGAAATAGGCCTACAGTGAGTGGCTGGCTTTACGTCACACCACCAGCAGATAATAGAAATGGGAATTAAGTAGTTTTTCTGATTCTAAATTGTTCGCTATTTCCAGCACATATCCTAAAAGTAAAACAAAAAGCTGTGACATTAATACTATGAAACGTTAATATTGTTTCAAAGTGAAACATTAATATTATCATTGACATCCAACAGTCATAATATGATTTTTTAAAACTTTGCAACCCAAAATATAAAGAAAATTAATGACCTCTCTCTTTCTTTAACACTTTCTTTCTCAAAATTTTATCCTGGGTGCTGGTAAGATTGTGGAGAAAAGGGAATGCTTATACACTGTGGGTGGGAATGTAAATTAGTTCAGCCACTACGAAAAGCAGTTTGAAGATTTCTCAAAGAACTTAAAACAGAGCTACTCCAAAGGAAAATAGTTATACCAAAGGACACATGCGTTTGCATCACTGCAGCATTATGCACAATAGCAAAGACATGACTTAGGTGCCCATCAACTGTAGATTGGATAAAGAAAATGTGGTACACAGACATCATAGAATACTACCCAGCCATAAAAAAGAATGAAATCATATCCTTTGCAGCAACATAGATGCAGGTGAAGGCCATTATTCTAAGTGAATTAACACAGAAGCAGAAAACTGAATATTGCATACTTTCACTTGTGAGTAGAAGCTAAACACTGGGTACACATAGATACAAAGATCGAAACAATAGATACCTGGGGCTACTGGTGGGTAGAGAGAGGAGGGAGTAAGGGCTAAAAAACTACCTATTGAGTACTATACTCACTACCTGGGTGACAGGATCATCCATACCACAAACACATAACATACCCATGTAATAAGCCTGCACACATACCCCCTAAATCTAAAGAGAAGTTGAAATTATCTTTTTTAAATGTATCTTGGGAAGTCTAGAATTTTTTATTCTCTGTCTGAGGTTTCTAAACCTTGTTAAATTGAATAATTTTCACTTTCAACCAATTTCAACCATAGACTTCAAAACACTTCAGCTAGATTCTCAATTCTGTTATCATCACACATCATTACATCTCTGCAATCATAAACTCTCAAAACTAACCCCATGTTCTACCACCCCAGCTCCCTCAGATCCTTTCTTTATTCACCCCTCTCCATTAACTTATCAAAGTCCTGAGCTTTTCAAGTTCTTCTGAGATTGTCGACTATCTCTTGGTTTCTCTCTCAATCCTCATTGTTGATTTGCTAAGTATTCTTTAACCTCTAGAACAGGGGTCCCCAACCCCCAGACCACAGACCAGTACCAGTCTGTGGCCTGTTAGGGGGCCACACAGCAGGAGGTGGGCAGCCATTAAGTGAGTGAAGCTTCATCTGTATTTACAGCTGCTCCCCATCGTTTGCATTACCACCCGAGTTCCACCTCCTGTCAGATCAGCCGCGGCATTAGATTTTCATAGGAGCATACACCCTCTTGTGAACCGCACATGTGAGGGGTCTCTGCTGCATGCTCTTTATGAGAATCTAATGCCTGATGATCTGTCACTGTCTCCTATCACCCTCAGATGGGACCATCTAATTGCAGGAAACAAGCTCAAGGCTCCCACTGATTCTACATTATGGTGAGTTGTATAATTATCTCCTTATATATTACAGTGTAATAATAATAGAAATATAGTGCACAATAAATATAATGCACTTGAATCATCCCAAAACTATAACCCCCATTGGTGGAAAAACTGTCTTCCACGAAACCAGACCCTGGTGCCAAAAAGGTTGGGGACCTTTTTGCTCTAGAACATTCCATTTATTGTACCCATTGTATTAGTCTGTTCTCATGCTGCTAATAAAGACTTACCCGAGACTGGGTATTTATAAAGGAAAAAGGCTTAATTGACTCACAGTTCACATGGCTAGGGAGGCCTCACAATCATGGCAGAAGGCAAGGAGAAGCAAAGTCATGTCTTACCTGGCAGCAGGCAAGAAGAGAGCATATGCAGGAGAACTCCTCTTTATATATATATATATAAAAAAAAAAAAACCAAGCAAAAGGAGTTTCCCCTTATAAACCATCAGATCTCATGAGACTTATTCCCTACCACGAGAACAGTATGGGGGAAACCACTCCGATGATTCAATTATCTCCCACTGCGTCCCACCCACAATTATGGGAATTATGGGAACTACAATTCAAGATGAGATTTAGGTGGGGACACAGCCAAACCATATTACCCATTAACCTCTATTATGCCTCCCAGCTGAATACCAAACTCAAATCTATTAGCTGTGTAAAGGAATGAGTGCACCTGAAGAAATCATACCAGAGTAATTTGTTGCCACTCACTCACTGTTTTCATATCTTGCTCTAGCAAAGCCTGAAACACCACCTACCAACACTTTTACTTCACTGTAAGCATCATGATCATCTTATTTCCTTCATGCACAGCAGATAGTGAGTCCCAATAAGGCTCTTGAATCATACCTGCCCCCTGGGACCTGACTTCATGAGTCATCGTGAGCATGCCCAAGCCTCTCTCAGCCCGAAGATAGAGAATGGAGAGAGACAAAAAGAGATACCTCACTTGATTTCCAGTTCCCTTCAGAATACAAACAATTTTTCATATGTTTACAATTTAACTTTTAAGAGTAACTGTATTCTTCAAGAAAGATACCGTCTCCATTCCTCATTTCCAAGTCACTTCTCATCCCACTGAAAGCTGCTTTCCATTCCCTCTTAAACTCCAGAAAATCTCCAATGACTTCCTAGTTACCAAATTGCACTTTTTAATTATCATTGCTTTATTGACACTGTCAATTATTCCCTCATTTAAAAAACTGCCCTCCTATGATTTTTAAGATTTTGAGAAAATTCTCACTTTGCTGTGTCCTTTCTATTGTCCTCTTCCTCTGTTCGTTACTGAAACATTTGTGTTTCTCAGGTTTCTGTCATCAGCTCTCTGGTGTACCCATTTTAAATGCTTTTCCTGATTGACTTCATTCATTCTGGTGGTTTCAACTGTATACTGATAACTCCCAAATACATATTTGGGCTCAAAAAGATATGCATGTATATATAAATGCAGATGCAAATGTACATAGGTATTTGTGTGTGTGAAGGTATGTCACTACACACACAGACACACACACATTCATAGATATTCCCAGCCAGCCCAGCTGTCTCCCCCAAGCTTCAGAATCACACTCTTAACTGACTGCTGGATGTCTCTACTTGCATATCCTATGCAGATATAAACTCAACACAATTAAAACTGGATGTAATTTATAAGACCTCAAAATTAGAAATTGCAAACTCTTCTTTGAACTCTTCCACTATGCATTTCTAATCAAACACTCAGTCTTGCCAATTTTACTCAATAAATATTTTTTCTCCACTGCCCTGGTTCAAAACTACATTTTTACTCTGTGGGATTGTTAGAAGAATCTCCAATATGTCTATTGTCTCCAAATGGCCCATCATGTGGAAAATACCCAATGTATAAATACCCAGGTCACTTCCCTGACTAAATCTCATGGCTCTGTGGCCTGCAAAGAATCAAGCCTGGTTCTCTGCAATTTCTCTAGCCTCATCTTTCCAAGATATATTGAACTCAGAGGTGAATCCACTTTGGGTGAGATCTGAGGCACCTATAATTTAGGAGAGAATTCTATTGAAGAAAAAGGATACAAAATTAGATACAAAAGTAAATATTTATCTAGGACAAAAAAAGAAATCACAACATATACTGGGACTTAAAAATATGGGTCTCTTTCTTTGAAATCTCCTTAGGCGATTAAATAGAAATGTTTACACAGAAATGATTCCAGATTGCAATCTGGCATCCTCTTTCTACCTAAAACCCTTACAACCCCTAGAAATCCTCAGAACTCATCAGGGACTGTTCAAGTGAGAAAACCTAAAGGTGGAAGCTCCCTAGCTTTTAGTAAACTCTGCTCTACTTGCATTTTAAGGCCCAAACACACTTCATGCGATTTGCTGCCTTTTTGCCTTGGCTCGTGCATTAAATGCAGTTGTCAATTCCATGTCCTGCCCTGCGTTGCCCTGCCATTTTCTCTCATCTTTGATCCATTTATCTTGCCTAAATAATTCCCAATTGACCATTGCTTAATATCTAGCTCAAGTGTTGCCTGATTCAGACAAGCTGGGTGACTCCACTCCTCAGGACTCTCTTAATTCCAAGTGCAGCCCTCCCTTAACATTTTCAGGGTCTGGGGCAACAGTACAAATGGAAGCTCACTTGTTATATACTCATATATTTAAAGGTTATAAATCAAGCTGACAAGCTGTTAAATAAAATATATTATCTCCTCCTGCCCTGCGAAATATTTCTTCTAGACGGTTAGGTTCAAAGTTAGAATTCTCAAACTCCTTGTACTTCTCTGAGCCAGAACTTGCCACACTGGGAGATCTACCCTTCAATCCCAGAACATAAGCTTCTCTTCTGAACCAGTCCTGCCACCTCTATCTTCATTCCACACTACAATAGCTTCACATGTGTACACATAGATATCTCAGCCCTGTCCACGTTCCATCCATTGTCCCTGCAAACAGCTAGGTATTTGGACGATCCCTTGGGCTTTGGTGTGTGCAAACCAGTGGCAGAGTCCAAGGAATGGACTCAGGAAAGAGGCACAGGCCGGGGACTAGACCAGCAGATAATCCTGTCATCTAGGAGACGTGAACTGCAGTTGATTACATTATTTTGTCTCTCCAAATTCCCACTCCCATAGCAAGGGGCACAGCCAAATGGCAGACCAGAAGGTAAGCTTTCTAAAGCACACAGGCCAAGGCAGGGCCTCTTCTTGCCTGGGCCTAAGGGTGATGCTGTTTTTAGGAATGATGTGTATGTCTCCCTGCTAGACTGTGAGCTCCTTATTTGCCAAGACTGCTTCTTATCCATTGTTGCCAGCAAATCATAAATGCCTGAAGAATGGATGAATAAATAAATGAATAGATAAGGAAAAGAAAAAGAAAAGCATAATTCTGGAGGTGGAAAGCCTATAAAGTTACGATTCTCGGGATGCTTCTGTTCCAAACAATCCTCCCACTAGGATCCCCAACTGGTCTCTAGATTCTGTTTGTGGAAAAGATGCCTTTCCTTCAAGAGGGAAGCCTTCTTTACATGCAGTAAACTGGGATGCTATTTAAAATGTAGTGATTTAAAATACTTAGGTGGTGCTTAAAAATATGCCTTTTTACAAGTTCACTAGTGATTCCGATATACACTACCTGAAGATTTAAAAATACTAATACAGTTTAGGTAGAAAGAGGAATCACCTTCAAAATGAGGTACAGTTATCTCTTGGTCAGTAAATACTACTGTTCGGTAGCAGATTCTTCCCTGATTCAGTGGTGTGAGAGGAAGATGGCCTGATGTAGGCGGGGAGGGGGGAGAATAATTTTTCAAATGGCAAAACCAGAAAATAATAAAGCTACACTACTTTTTAAAAAATGAATACACAGTGTCTAACTGGCTTACTAGCTGGCACAAAGTAACCACTGAATATATGGTAGATTAAAATTGGAAAATAACTTTCAGAAGTCTCTCAGTTATGGTCGCAGTTGGCCCTGTTTCTCTTCAGCTGAGCAATGACAAATAGAAACAGTGCAGTGAGGTATTTTTATCATTCACAGCTGCGTTATCTGCTATTGCACTTCAGAAAATTCAAGGAGGATTTTTAAAAACATTTTATTATTATAAAAGAATTTTTTTTACCAGAATTCATTATCAAAGCAGCACTAAAAAGACCTAACTACCAAAGAATCTGTAGATGAGTTTTATACAAGGTCTGCGATGTTTCCTTCATTACATTTACAGAAAAGCAAGTTGCAACCACTGTGTGATGTGATAGAAAGAAAAAAGACAGTGGAATTAAAATCCTGTCTTTGAGCACAGTCTTAGAACCTTGGAAAAATTACTTAAGTTGTCTTTGCTTTAATTTCCTCACCTCTAAAACGAAGTTGAGAATAAAATTGCCAGATCCATAGGGCTGCTCTTTGAGGTTTAACTATGGTGGTTTAAATGAGGCACCTCCACAGCACCTTACAGTGAAGGAGTCTGATAAATGTTTGATAGATCCATTCACTTTATCTAAAATGTAATCATTATACATATGACACATCACACAAGAAAAAGATACATTAGAAACAACCACTGCCAATTTGACTTTCTAGCAGATGACCAACTAGGTTTCCTTGTACTGGTGTAAACATTCTTCACACATCGTATACTCATTTAATCACGATGCATTTCTTACTAAGTCTTACTTTGACAGTCCGTAAAACCCTGAGTCTCTCATATAAAATTGGGTACATTTACCAGAAGCTCATCTATCAGACTGCTTCAATTAATTGACATACATTATCACATTGAATTGTACTTACCAAAAGCAATAAGTAAAGCTTTGCTTGCATTGAACATAATTTGGGTTCTAACTTTGATTCACCTTACTTAGTTCACTAATTTTAGCATTGTCTACTAGATTCCTATTAGATATGAGAATAAATCTCTGTTCTTTTGGATTTGATTTTGATGGAAGAATATTGAGTAAGTCCAGTAGTTTGAATACCAATCCAGTAACTAAATTGTCCTATATTCTTTTAAAATAATTCTCAAACCAAAAGCTAAAATACCAGACATGAGAAACCTTATACAACTATATTTTCAAAAATTAAAACTTTGTCACAGTCATTCTTATACATAAAATGATTTTTATAGTGCCAGTGTCACCATTCATGACAATGGGTATCAGTGTCCTCAATGAATTTAGTATCAGAGCTCTTGGTTGACTTTTACAATTCTTTTTCATGTCCTTATTTACATTCCATATAATGTCCCCTCATTTTCTTCAGCTTCTAAACCTGCAAACATCTTCTAATTTCTGTGTGTGTCATAAAGTGCGCCTAACTTGGAACTTAAGAGGATAATGAACTAGAAATCTAGAGGCACAGGCTGGCTCTAGATTCACCACTACCCACAAGTGAATTAATTTAACCCTACCTGACAATACTTTAAAGGTATTATATTAAAATTGTAATCATTTACATTTGTATAACAATATTTCACACCTCATATTTTAATAGTTAACACATCACATTCAAAACACAAACAAACTCATGAGTAAAGCAATGGGAATTTCTATGTTTTCAAGAAGCACTAACAATAACACTAACAAGAGGTCTTCCTAATTGGGTACACAAGCTTTAATTTATACCTCATATAATTGTCCTTGCACTTCATTTGGTAGATTCCTAGGAGGCTAAATTTTTACCTAAATTGGAAAACTTGTTCTGTGGGTGTTCACCCCGAGACTGGCTAGGCTGCTCAGTGCTTTCTCTCAGAGTCGTGTCAAATTGTTGGAAACTATGAAATCGAATGGTGCTTAAGTGTTTTCAAATTATTTAGACAATAAGCGCTACACAAATATGAAACATCATCAATTTTTAACTTCTTAAAAGCATCTCCATGAGCAAAAATAAGAGAAATACTTTGTATTTTAATCTCCTGTAAGATTAAAGAGTGAATGCAGCTGGAAATGCCTCATAGCCCCCCCTCCACTCTTTCTACCATAAATGTGTCAAGAGCAAAGACAGAGGTGGTTCCTTTGGTGTCCATGTTCTGTGTCTGCTAAAGATCTACAAATTGTGCTTTTTCAATTAAAAATTCTTTTTGTTGTTATTGTTGTATCCCCAAAATACTATTATCTGTAAGCAACATATAGTGTAGTATTTCTGCGAAGAGAATCAGGGAATCCTGACTACAGAGTTCCAGGAAATACTAGGTTAAATTATCCTGGTCCATTAGTAGCCATGTTGTGTAGTAAAAGCAGCATTGCTTTTGAGTTCCATTGCCCCACTCACTGTTATGTTACCTTCATCACAGTACTTCCTTACCTCACACCTCCATTTCTTTATCCATATAGTAAAGAGACTGGACTGTAAGATCTTTAACATTGTAATACCTAATCACTGTTTTTTCTAAGAAACAAAATAAGAAGTTGATATCTGAGTTTATTAGCTATTCTGGTTTGATCTCATTAGTTTGAAATCCTAACATACAACTTAAAGCCTCTGGTTTCAAATTTTAACAAGATATACAGAGAATTTATTGTCAGCCATCCAACTTAAGCTTATAAACTAATCTAACATTTCTCTGAGCATGTCAGTAACCAAACTGATATTCAATAATGTAGCAATTAACAATTCCTGTCTGGATTATGGTTCTATGCTTGTGGAAAAAAATATAAAAGAATTTTTGTAGCACATAGAAACAATTTATAAAGAAAGATAAATTCACATGGAAAGAATTTTTAACTGTTGTATTTAACCAAGAGTGTACTATTGGCATAGAGTTCTAATTTATATAGTATTGATTTTTTAAATACTATATATTTTAAAGTATTGAATTATAATTTACTTAATACAACTTAAGCTGACTTGTCCCATTATTCTGATAGCACATACAGTCAAATGCAGCTAGTTTTAAGTAACAATTATCTCATAACAGAGATTCACAAGAAAATGCTGTTTGCCTCTTCACAATTCTCTAAACCAAACCACAAGTTATAACAATAAGAATTAAGTGTGTTTCCTCCCATTTAGCATATGTGGTCTTCAAACATAGACATCAAAAGAAAACCTACTCAAAAAGAAGCTGAATATCCATTATGAAATGATAGTGTTATGACATGAAGTTAAAGAACATTAGCTTTTACACTTCCATGTACTTCAGTATAATTCTGTATTAATTATGTAGATGAAAGCAAATAGACTTCATATGTTGAGTTTTGTTTTGAATAGTAATATTTTTTAAAAGCTCTAAAATAAAATGTCAAGACTATTGTTTCTATTTTGTTCCCATCCTTTTATGTCTGGAGTTTTTATTTCTTCTTTAAACATTGGGTAATGTGAACCTCACCATAGGCTTTTATTTAAAGTTTTGAAAAACTCTGGATTCTTTCTTTATCAGCAAATAAAGATAAGAGTAGCATGCTAAAAATGCCAATTTTGCTTCTTGTCCTGAAAGGTGATAATGTGCTTTCCAAAGCAAATTTTCTTTCTAAATCCAAAGACCCAGTAATATCACCTTAATAATCTTTTCATCTTGAATAGCACGGTTCTTTGAAAATATTAATTACTGAGCCATTCACGATATCATTTTGAAATTATGTTATACTACTTGTAACACCTTAGCAAATTCAAAATGTTGTACAAAGAGAAATCAATATTATTAGAGGGCTGTTGACCAAGAAGATTTTTCAGAAATGCCACCGTTCTAAGCATAAGTGTGTACAATAAGCTTGAACATTAATTAGGTACTGAAAACAACCAGCTTTTCATGGGTGGAGAAACATGTCATTAGTCATAGGTCCTATGAGTGGAAAAATTTTAAGATACTTGAATCATGATCTTTAAAAATAAATGCAGCTATCTATAATAAGTTCTTCATTCTAATCAGTTTTTTTCTATGCTTAATTGATACTATCTTGCAGCAAATAACTATGTAATGAAAAGAGATGGTTAAAAATGAGTTGCATGCTTATTTTAAAACCCAATCATTTTTATTGATGTAATAGGGATAACAAATCTGAAAGCATAAACGTTATATTGTAAATAATATAAGGTTTTTGACTTTTCATTTATGCTTCAGAATCCTAAACACATTGTCTTACTTATTTGTAATCCATCAACCCAGGTGACAAATAGTCTTCTATATTTACCCACCCAGAATATACAAGAAGCATACTGTATTAGCAGCTGAAACTACAAACGCTACTGTCAATCAAACAGTCTGGCAGAGTACCATATTTCTTGTCACCAAGAGGCTTAAAGCAAAGAATCTGTGCCTAATTCTTTTAAACCTTATAGGTCAAAAGGTTTTAAAATTATTTTTGACACCATTTCTTTGCTTTGTCAACAGGCCTGAGTACTTTTTCGCTTGTAAAGGATATAAAAAATGACTCATTCTAACATCGCAAATTTATGGGTTTAAGACATCACTTTTCACGGTAACATAATTCTTCAGGCAGATTAGATGATTGCTATGCCTCAAAAATATTTTGATCTGCTTTTGAAAACTGTGTCCCAAAAGCTTGGCTACACAGTACCTAGAACTGGGCCAAATGGCCAATGGGCACTTGGAGGTGTTTTGGGCTATGATAATGGATATGGTCCTAGGGTAAAGGGTCTTTACTCAATTGAGCTGATTACAACTTCTAGGAACATTATCAATTCCCCGTGGCCTACACTGGATCACAAAGAACACATTTTAACAGTTCTTTAAAATTAATTCCTCAAAGACCAAATCATATGAATGCACAGCTTTTGATAAAAATTCCCTCTATGTATAAGGAATATTTCAGTACACATGTTTTCCCCTTGAGTTTTTGTTCCTCTCTTACTTGTTTCATATTCAAGCTACTTCAGTGTACATCCCGACATTTCTAACCCCTGTCCCAACTTTCTTCACACCTCAAATATCTCTTCTCAATCCTATGAGCTAGACAATATCAGCTGACTCTCTCCCACTCAGGTACACTTCTCTCTATTTGATTCTTGACACTTTTGCTGAGGTTATTTTTCTGCTCATCAATCGCTTTTGCTTGCATTAGCTCATGAAAACATATCATTGTGTTTTTATACGCCACTCCCAGGAAGCAAATCTACCCTTTGCCTTCCTTATTTAATCTTCTTACTCTAATAATAATAAGCCATCTTCATGACCACATACCTTACACCTAACATACTCTTTCTCTGCAAACTTAATGACTTCACTCCCTTCTTAAAAATCTCTGTCTCCATGAAGTCTTTCTAGACAACTGAAAGGCATTGACAAGCTCCTCCTGGCCTCACCCTGACTAAACATGAAACACTTTTCACAGACTCTCAGTTACCACCCAATAGTGATACACCAGGCTACTGTGTAGGTTTTTATTATTTCTTTTATTTTCTCACTATGTGCTTATGCTGTCGGGTGTATACCTTTTATGTCAGTCTGTGTGGATGTGGTTGGTGAGCAACTATAGAGTTCTAGAAGTTATAAGTGAGGCAGCAATGCATCACATGCAATGGCCACACAGTTAACATTTTCATGATGATGTTGACAAGCATTTAGAACTATAAGTTTTCTCCAAATTCCACACTGACTTGATGTGTATTATTCCCCCTTGTTTCCATTTATTAGGAGGCCCAGAGGTACCTACCATCTAGTCAGTAAAGAGGAAATGATTCAGAAAAGAGTGATTATAATATTCCCTCATTTATATACACATAAGAAAGAGAAGCATATATATATATATATATAACTACACAATAATTAAAATAAATATGTAATTGTACAATAAAAGTCAACCAAAAACAACTACATAAGTATATAATTTCCAGAGAGGAGGAAACATCTTTTAGATGTCTTCAAATACACTCTCTCTCAGCCCAAACTCTCAACACTTAGAAAAACAATCACTATTATAGTAATGATTGCTTAACTATGGATTTTTTAATGCTATCTTCAATAAAAATTGAGCTAACTGAATCCATTGCATAAAAATTCCCCAACACTTTTATTTTTTTTTCCCAGAGGTAGCAGTGGTACATACTAAGCCATAGCTTAGGTTTATACTTACTGTGAATGTGTTATAAAGCTAAGGATTTTGTGGTTTTTAAAATTTACCATATTATATCCAAATGGCATTTTGCAAGCAACATGTGTATAAATTTGGGCTGTAATTGAAAATGTACATGAATAAGAAGTAATAAACATATTGTCCTGAAATGTTTTTCAATTAGGATAACTTTACACGTGCTTGATTTTTTTTCATATGAAAAGAATGTTACAATTACCAATATGATACTATGATGATGTGGGGTGTGGCTGTAAATCTCAGCTGAATTTGGTCAGTAAGCTATTTTTAATAATTTTGTTTCTACAATTTTATTTGTACAGCCTAAAATCTTAAATAATTTTTGTTTTCTTAGCCTTTGTCTCCCTATTTACTTTCCTAAATATGGTTTTTTTTAAGGGAAAAAAAAACACCCTATGCCAGAAAATCTTAAAGTAAGCTCCCTTCTTAAATCCATAGTAAAATCTACGGCTTCCACATTTGCAAATAGTTTTATAATAGACCCTTCTATCACATTACTTGGAACTAAACAAAACTGGGATTTTAGCAGAGAAGGCCTGTAGATATTTTATACGTAGAAACATAAGGCCATTGTCTTATAAAATTAACCTGCTCTTAAGAAATTTCTTGAGTAACAATATTTCACATGTTATATACAGACATTTTAGTGACACGCATGTATGTACTAAAAAAGAGAAAAAAGATCTAAAGTTTAGAGTTAATCTGTAAATCTGTGGGAAGGCTTCCTGATTTCAGGGATATTTTATATCTCACAGATATAAAACAATGATGTTTTGATAGAGTTTTAGTGGTAACCTTTACAAGTCATATCTTGTGCTAAATTACACTTTAGAGAGAATAGTGTTATAATAAAGTTCTGATGTATCATTTCCCCTTTTACATGACACATATAAATTGTATTTTCCAAGTCAAGCCAATAGAAAGCTCATTGCTGGGTAAAGTTTGAGCTGTGTTTGAGCCATGGTGAACCAGCTTTTCCCACTCCTTTTCACCTTTCAGCTTTCAATTGCTCTGCTTTAGAAAAAAAAAAAAAGACAGGCAATAGAGATAAATTTGACTTTAATGACATTAAATATTAATATTAAATATTCAGGATTTCCTTTTGAAGATAATTATATAGTACTCATATATTTCACAATAATGTGACTAAGATGATTGCCTATCTGAAAAAATAAATGCCCATTATACCTTGTGCATAGAGGGAATTCAATAAATATGGAGTTTGTTAAAGGGAACTCAGCCGGCAACTGTGAAATCATAAGTTAATAAATAAAATACAATGATGATTTACCATAATCAAATTAGCCAGTAACATATATACATATTACAAGTCAGCTCTCATAAAAAGGCCTTTGCTACTTTTTCTGACACAACTGCATGATTCTTTTTATTCAGTGTACATTTATGTGATAAACTCTCATTAGAGTCTAAAAAGTTTGATATTCCCCTTATAAAACATACAGAAGGAGAGCTCGTTAAAGTAATGGATTTATTTAACAACTGTTTTTTTCTTCAACTTTATTTTATGTTATTGTCATCTAGCTGTAGGCTGATCCAAGTCAAATAAAAAAGTTTCTTCTGAGAACCAGAAATGGCAGCTCTGACTGTCATGGAGTATAGAGGTATAGTTGCTATATACATTCTTTACTGGATAGACTATCCCTTAACCTACAGCTGATGAAATACTATGTGCAGTGAGATTCAGTTCCCTTTCCATAGATTACACTGTGTTGATTCTGTTTTGCTTTTGGTCAAATGCCAGAGCAATACATTTAGCAACAAGAAAGCGGTGCCGCTAATTAAAACAACATATTCCATCCCAACATATGCAAAAGAAAATAAATATTTAAATAGACATGGATTTGATAAAGACTGTCATGATTAAAATTATACAAAACAAAATGATAGCCTAAGTATAGTGAGTTCTCTCCCCCAAACCTTCCATCTTAACTGGATTGCAGAAGTATTCAAATCAAAGAACATTTAAAGATAGATAGGATAGTAAATCTAAAATTAAAAAGAAACACAATTAATAGAGAGAAATTCATATTATGAAATATTTGTTTCAAAATAAGGTTCGCTGATTTTTTTAAGTTTTTCCATAAAATTTTGAAGAAGTATGAATTTTTTAATTACATTAAATAATGTACTTACCTATTTAGACCACACATTTCTAAATTCCTGTATTAATTTATTCAACATATATTTACTGAGCACCAGCTAGGTGCAGGGCACTGTGCCAGGTGATAGGATTAAAAGGATGAAAAATACAGATATATCCCATTACCTTAATAGTTCAGTGAAGTTAATAGTGCAATGAGGGGAACAGAAAGAAAACAAATAAATAGATACAAAAGACAATACCAAGTATGGTTGAAGAAATAAACTGAGTTTGAGATAAACTAAAAAACTTTAGACAGAGTGGTAGGAGAAGTTCCTCTAAAGAAGAGACATCAAAGCTGAGACCTGAAGGATGAGAAGGAAATGGCCACACAAAAGAGAGAAGACCAAGGGGCAGTCAGAGAGACTACCAGATGCAGAGGTCATGAGCAAGAAGCGTTTAGAGAGGTCTAGGGACTGGAAGAACATCAGTGGGATCAATCTGGGAGGAATAACCTCAGTGGGGCTAGAGAAGGAAAAGAAGTTGGATTATAAACTCTGGAAGGAATTATGACCAGAAGAATGGATGCTGTTAAGATCTATTATAGAGGTAGAATCAACAGGACAGGACTGTACTGTTAAAACTTAAGATATCTTGGGCAGTGAGACCCAGAAATGTTAAACACATTGGACAAAGTTACCCATTTAATGGCAGTGACAGCACTAAATCTCAGGTATCCCAAATCATAAATCTAAAGTCCTTATAGTACAGCAACTGTTATAGTGTGTCACATCATGTCCCACATTTACAGTGTATGTCTTGCAATATCATCTCTGAGAATTTATTCAAAATATATTTATGAATATGTGTATATGTAAGTATATTAATTGAGTATAAAGTTATAATCTTTGGAAATCACAAGCTTTTTCCCAAAAACTCAGTGAGAATAGGTATTTTCTTAGTGTCTCCTGGTCACAGTTAATGTTTGATAATACAGTTGTACATCTCATGTTTCTCAACAAGGCCTCTGTGGTGAGACTGGAGGTTACCCTCCAAAAACCCCTTCTCCTCTTCATCTAGGACACATGGCTGTGCAGTTAGAGTACCTACAATTCTCAGTCTCTCTCCATTGAAGAGCAGCCATGAACTAGGTCCCCACCAGTGGAACTGAAGGGAAGTGGTCTTTGCCACTTCTGGGACTGGCCTATAAGCTTCCCTCCTAGCATCAAGCTTGCCATTTTCACTTTCTTATTCCTCCTTCCACGAGCCTGAACACAGACATGGTGGTGACCCAGCATAGACCATGCAGATGATGACAGTTCCCTAGGGTATGTCAGAAAAATGACTTTGAGCAAAACTGAGTCCTTAAATGTACATAAAGAACATGGTTTCCCTGTCATGTTGGAACTCTAATGTGAAAAAGAAATAAAATTCCTTATTTTTAAGCCACAGTCTTTTTTTTTCTTTTAATTACACTTTAAGTTCTAGGGTACATGTGCACAACATGCAGGTTTGTTACATATGTATACATGCACCATGTTGGTGTGCTGCACCCATTAACTCGTCATTTAACATTAGGTATATCTCCTAATGTATCCCTCCCCCTCCCCCGACTCCATGACAGGCCCTGGTGTGTGATGTTCCCCTTCCCATGTCCAAGTGTTCTCATTGTTCAATTCCCACCTATGAGTGAGAATATGCAGTGTTTGGTTTTTAGTCCTTGCAATAGTATGCTGAGAATGATGGTTTCCAGCTTCATCCATGTCCCTACAAAGGACATGAACTCATCCTTTTTATGGCTGCATAGTATTCCATGGTGTATATGTGCCATATTTTGTTAATCCAGTCTATCATTGATGGACATTTGGGTTGGTTCCAAGTCTTTGCTATTGTGAATAGTGCTGCAATAAACATACGTGTGCATGTGTCTTTATAGCAGCATGTTTTATAATCCTTTGGGTATATACCCAGTAATGGGATTTGTGGGTCAAATGGTATTTCTAGTTCTAGTTCCTTGAGGAATCGCCACACCAGCTTCCACAATGGTTGAACTAGTTTACAGTCCCACCAACAGTGTAAAAGTGTTCCTGTTTCTCCACATCCTCTCCAGCACCTGTTGTTTCCTGACTTTTTGATGATCGCCATTCTAACTGGTATGAGATGATATCTCATTGTGGTTTTGATTTGCATTTCTCTGATGGCCAGTGATGATGAGCATTTTTTCATGTGTCTTTTGGCTGTATAAATGTCTTCTTTTGAGAAGTGTCTGTTCATATCCTTCACCCACTTTTTGATGCGGTTGTTTTTTTCTTGTAAATTTGTTTGAATTCTTTGTAGATTCTGGATATTAGCCCTTTGTCAGATGAGTAGATTGCAAACATTTTCTCCCATTCTGTAGGTTGCCTGTTCACTCTGATGGTAGTTTCTTTTGCTGTGCAGAAGCTCTTTAGTTTAATTAGATCCCATTTGTCAATTTTGGCTTTTGTTGCCATTGCTTTTGGTGTTTTAGACACGAAGTCCTTGCCCATGCCTATGTCCTGAATGGTAATGCCTAGGTTTTCTTCTAGGGTTTTTATGGTTTTAGGTCTAACATTTAAGTCTTTAATCCATCTTGAATTAATTTTTGTATAAAGTGTAAGGAATGGATCCAGTTTCAGCTTTCTACATATGGCTAGCCAGTTTTTCCAGCACCATTTATTAAATAGGGAATCCTTTCCCTATTTCTTGTTCTTGTCAGGTTTGTCAAAGAGCAGATGGTTGTAGATGTGTGGTATTATTTCTGAGGGCTCTGTTCTGTTCCATTGGTCTATATCTCTGTTTTGGTACCAGCACCATGCTGTTTTGGTTACTGTAGCCTTGTAGTATAGTTTGAAGTCAGGTAGCGTGATGCCTCCAGCTTTGTTCTTTTAAGCCACACTCTTATAGGATCTCGATATTTCAGTGGCCTAGCTATATACTAAACAATAAAGACTCCAAAATCTCTACCTGTCTGTGCAATTATACTTCCCATGTTACGAATAATCTTGAACCTTAATAAGGGGAAATATAAAAGTCATAATGGAATAAATCACTGGCTTACCCACGTGGTATTTTCAGGATGTCTTGTTGGGAGTGAAGGTAATTCTGACACATTCATTCCCATTCCATCCCATGTGCACATACACAAGCACTGGGATCCATTGTAATACATGACTTTCCTAGAGGAAGTGGCAGCTCTCAAATAGAAGGCAAATAATCCCCCCTGTGATGGTCAGTCACTCTCAAGTCTGCAGGCACAACTGCAAAACATATTATTAAGGCAATGCCTGTGGGTTAAATCACTAAACTGCATGGGTAGGCTATGGGATATTCTGGGTGTAGGTGACTGTGAGGAAGACATAGACTAGTTTCAGTTCAGTACTGGAACCGTGACTCATGAGCACAAAGGTGGAATGAGTATCACAAATAATTACCCAGCCACATGGTGCCCAAGGTGAGCCAGTCACTGGTGCTATAACTGTGAATAGACTTCAGTCTCTCTGAGGTTGGCAAAAGTTCTACTATTCAAAAGTATGTCAACACGATAACTCAGAATCATTGGTTGTAGGTACCAACTGCCAGTTCAATCAATTGTGGGCAGGACAGTAGAGTCACATGACAACTTTTACCGTAGGTAACATTTACGGCTCTATTCCTCAGAAGGGTGATTTGGAAGTCAATGTTGAGTAATTCATCCACTATCCGATAGTGGTAGCAGTCATAGTACAGTCGTCATTACCATAGTAACAAACATTTTTTGAATACTTACCAAGTTCCAGGCACTATGCCAAATGCTTTATATATACTATCTAATTTAATCTTTATATAACCTTATTATCGTCCCCATTTTATAGCTAAAGAAACTGAAGTGTAGAGACATTAAGTGGGACAACAAATACCCAAACTCAGGCAGTATAATTTCAAAGCTTCATGCTCAATAATTGTATTGTATTATGATCTTTCTGTAGCTACAGTCCATCATATTCATATTTATGTTCCCAAAGCATCTAACCTATAGTTACCTGCATGCAACAAGTAACAAAAACACAACTGGGAGACCCATGTTTAATTAACTAAAACAATGCAGTTAGGGTTTCCATTGTCCATTCTTACTATTGCTGTAATTAAAAATAATTTGGAAGGAGTAAGTGTCAACATAATAAAGCTTTAGTGCAGCATCCTAGAGATATTTGCAGATTAACACCTTGTTTGCTAATTGTGTCAGTGCTCAACTTAAGTTGCAAAATATGAATGTAAAGAGTATGAGAGTCTTGCAGATGGGATTGTTAAAGCAAACATCTCCACATATGTTTTAGCTTCAGCTCATAGAAATAAGGCTTCTACTGTCTCTCCATATGGAAAATCATTGAAGAGAGCATTTTTGTCCCCTCTCTTGCTGGCCTGCTTTTCACTCCTATCTACTCCCAGAAAAATGAGTTCCTGATCCAATTGACAAGAGCTGGGTTCATTTGCTAATAATGGGCAGGGCTACTGTGCCTCAAAAGCAGGAACCAGGCTAGCACTGCCGTTTCTTTAACTTACTGGATTCAGGGGCAGTTCTTCGCTATTCTCTCACTCCCAGAGTTTAGACACTGGAGCCACCTTGTCCTTCACATCACTCTGAGGTAAGAAAATCTGTTTTTGTGGACTCACCTTTGTCTCTCTGCTCCACTTTGACAGAGATAGGATTTTAGCTTTCCAGCAACTGGCTCAATTTATGGATTCAGAGTTTGTCTTAAAGGCTGGAAAAGCTCTACAGGCAATCTGAAATGTGCGGATCCCAGGTCAAGAGAGGAAGTCCCTAATGTGGGATCCCAGGTTAAGACAGGAAGTCCCAAATCCAGCATTTGTAAGAGAGCACTGGATGGAGAGGTATAGCACACTTGAACATATACTCAAAAGAGCTGCTTTATATATATGTGTGTGTATATACATATTATATATAATATATAATACATATAATACATATGCATATAGTATATATAATACATATTATATATTATATATAATACATATTATATATAATATATAATACATATATATGTATATATATACATATAATATACAATACATATTATATAATATATAATACATATTATATATTATAATATATAACATATTATATATACATATTATATGTTATAATATGTAACATATTATATATACATATTATATATCTCATATAATATATAATATATATAATATACATAATTTTTCTGGTTATAGGAGTAGATAGGAGTGAAAAGTGGGCCAGCAAGAGAGGGGACAAATATGCTCTCTTCAATGATTTTCCATATGGAGAGACAGTAGAAGCCTTATTTCTATGAGCTGAAGCTGAAACATATGTGCAGATGTTTGCTTTAACAATCCCATCTGCAAGACTCTCATACTCTTTACATTCATATTTTGCAACTTAAGTTGAGCACTGACACAATTAGCAAACAAGGTGTTAATCTGCAAATATCTCTAGGATGCTGCACTAAAGCTTTATTATGTTGACACTCCTTGCAAATTATTATCATGTATATAATATATATAATACATAATATATATAACATATAATATATATTATATATAATACATACGATATAACATATATATTATATTATATATAATACATACTATATAACATATAATATATATTATATTATATATAATATGTATATACACACACATGTACTTTTCTTTAAACGTCGATTCTATCAGTCAGATCCCTTAAGGGAGAGAAGTGCCACACAAAACCCACAACAACCTCTCTGATCATCAAGAAGTAAGACTTACAAAGTTTTTCAAACTTAAAACAGAAAAACTGCTGGAATCCATTGCCACATTAATTTAGGCCATTGTATCATCCTCAGAATAAATCCACACCTTACTGCTATGGTTGAGATTTCAATTACAAATAAGATACCTCCTTTAGGTAAATTAATATTGAAAATTTATCACAAATAAAAGAGATAAAAGAATAGAAGTAAACAAAATCAGTTCAATTCACAGGTCAAACATGTAAAAGTAGGAGACAGATAAAGGCAGACATGAAGATTTAATCTTCACATCAATCCCAACATTGCTTAATACAACAATACGGCAGGGAGAGGTGTTGTATGTGTTCTGTTGTTTTCAGAAAACACATATAAATCGAAAATGAAAATTCCAAAAGAACACTAGCTTCCATGCCACAGTATTTTTTAAGGTATTTTAGAAACTAGTTAGATTTTAAGTTTCAAGCTTTCAAATGTGCTTTGTGTACAGAAAATGTTTGATATATTTACTAAATATTGAAGAAATGAACATCTTATGGGCTTTGTTCTTACACTTAAAGCTGTGTTAAACAGTGCTGTGTGTATTTCTACACATATATAATAATTGACCTCTTTCCATATTTTGTTGCTATATAATATATATTCTGTGAATTGCACATTCTTGTGCTATGCCATATATGCATGTGTGTGTGTGTGTGTGTGTGTGTGTGTGTGTGTGTGTGTGTATATATGGGATTTTTTTGCCAAATTTTACCATTGCTTATGTGTACTATTCCTTACATTCCCACCAACACTGTATAAGAGTACAAATTGATAAATTGCCCCTCAAACTTACTAAGACAAAGAAGTTTTTAAAGCGACACATAAGAAATTTAATTAAATACAAATCTTAAATTCCTATATGTCAAAAGGTAAAAGAACAAAGTTAAAAGACATCCAAAAACTAAAAAAAGTTATCTTCAACATTTAAAGCAAAGATTAATATTTTACATTTCAGACAGATTATCCATATGAAAAACAGTCATAGCATAGGATTGTGAAATTCACAGACTATATATATACATATATATATACATATAGCAATAAACATATGAAAAGGTCAATTTCATCAATAGTTTAAAAAATACTTTTTAAAGCCATAATAATTTTATCGCTATTCAGAATGAAAAAAATTTAACAAGTCGATACAACCTATTGGTAAAGGGTATAAGAAAATTTAACTCCTATATACTATTCCTGGAAGTATAAATGGTAATTTTGTGTTTTAGAGTAATTTGCACTGTCTATAAAAGTTTTAAATATGTAATATTCTACAACTGAGCAACCCCACTTTCAAAAATTTATACCAAAGAAATAACATAGAGTAGGTACTTAAGAATGATCAGGACAGCATTGTTTTTAATAATAAAAAAAAAGGTGGGGAGGAAGAGCCACTTCAAGTTCCAATATGAGGAGGGGCTAAATAAATGAGACTATAACAATATAATGGAATATTATTTGGAAGCCGCAAATATAAATGCTTCAGATCACTAAGCAGATATGATAATAAAGAGTTGAGTGAAATTAATAGGAATCAGAAGGCCTGTCATCAAAAGGGATGCAAATTCCATTTTTTCAAACACATTAAATGGCTCAAACCAAGCAAAATTTATGTGTAGTCCCTTTCCCCAGCAGACCTCCAGACTGTGACATCTGAGGTAGAATTAGATAGAAAGATAGAATTAGATAGATAGAAAGCTAGCCATAGATATAAAGAAAAACGAAGTTAAATTACAGGACCAATGAATAGCAGAGTCAGTTGTTTGGTAGATATGTATACATAGGACTGCCTATAAACACATGAAAATTGAAAAACATAGGTTAACTGGGTTACCACTCTGTTGTAGAATTAGTGAAGCAGGGGCAGTGCCTAGGGATGGCTCTCACTTGTACATCTGTGTTGTTTCCTAAATTGTTTAATTCTAAGTAGTTTTTGCATTTTGGGTTTTTCAGCATTTTTCAAATAAATTTTTTAACAAAATAGAAAGAATACAGAAATTCACAGATATAATTTCAGGAAAAAGAATAGAATTGTATTTAGAGTACAGAGATAAAGCATATCTTCCTTCAATGTCATAAACTTCAGTTATTTTTAATTTGGGCCATATCTTTTATAATTAGTCAATCATTCAACCAAATTTTTTTTCCAAAGAAAAAATGTAATGAAAACTTAAATTAGCACAAATATTTAAATGCTGAATTTGCACCAAATAAAGACTTCAGGGAGAGAAAAAATAGTTTGGAAACTTTTGACAAGACTTTTCAATATTTGAGACATTTTAACTCAACTTATACCAAAACTAGCATATTTTCAATGACGTTACCAATTCACAGAATTGCATAAGTGTTGAAGAAAGTTATTTGAATATACCAAGGAAGGGCACAGTTGAGTTCTATTTCTGTTTACTCTGTATAGCTTTAACTTTGTGGTAGAAGATTACTTAAGTGAGCATTTTGGGTTGAAGAAAAAAACCTTGGCAGGGCATTTTAAGCTGAAAGCATTTGATTTTTTTATTTTTATTTTTTTACCATATTATAGTTTTTAGCATATCAAGGCTTGTGTTTAGAATTTGTTGTTACTAATTCTTACTAATTTTGTGTGTGTGTGTGTGTGCACGCACACTTCCTTTATTTGGCACATCATCATGCATTTTTACAGTCAGGTTGAATTTGAGGAAAGCACTACTATAAATATAGAAGGTTTTCTCAAGGATATAGAAGACAGGCTTGATTTTGTTCTTGCAGAAACTCTAGAATCTTCAGGCCCAAGCAATTTAAACCGTTTGTTAATTGATTACCTTCCAGCCCTAGATGATATACACTACGTATATCATCTATGGTCACTTAAACTGACTCCTAGAATCAAAAGCAGAACCAGCATCTCTTATGTGACAATATAGAGAACATAATGAGGTATTCTCCTAAAAGAGACATAAACCACTAAGTAGCAAGGAATACATGCCCTAAAATCTGTTATTAAATTAATTATTCTAAAAATTAAATGTTGAAAAATAAAACTTTATGGCTAATCATTTGTCTCCAGCTTTTTAGGGCAACTCTCATTCAGATTAAGTCCAAAGAGCTTTGTAAACAACAAGAAACATATGTGCATAGGAGCCCCAGACACCCTGAGATCCACCTCTGAGGTAGTCATTGAAGGACTCTTAAGTGCTGAAATAGTCTGGGCTCACACAGGACTCAGTAAGTGAAAGCTCATTTGCTGCTATCAACAAACAAATTAATAGTACAGAGTAATAATGCAAGAGAATTCTTGGTGCAGTTGTGCTGTTTAGAGATTCTCAAGCATACTCAAATGTGAAAAGGAATACATTTCTTTCTCCTCTGTAGCTCAGCCTCAGATTTTTGTTTCCAGGATTCCCCCAGGTGAAAGTAATCTCTCACCTCTAGAATTCCATTTCTGCACTTCCATTTCATCTCCCTTGTAGTACACAGTTTGTGTACTTTTTAAACATATATCAAATCACATGGCCGGGTGCAGTGGCTCACACCTGTAATCCCAGGACTTTGGGAGGCAGAGGCGGGCAGATCACTTGAGGTCAGGAGTTTGAGACCAGCCTGGCCAACACAGTGAAACCCCCGCCTCTACTAAAAATTCAAAAATTATCCAGGGTGTGGTGTTGCATGCCTGTAATCCCAGCTACTCGGGAGGCTGAGGCAGGAGAATCTCTTGAACCTGGGAGGCCAACGTTGCAGTGAGCTGAGATTGCACCACTGCACAGGGCAACAGAGTAAGTGAGACTCTGTCTCAAAAAAAACAAACAAAAAAAACCCCACAATACTCTTCTATTCAAAACCCTGCCATGGTTTCCCCATCCTGTGCAAGGAAAAAGCCATGGTCCCTAGTTGGCTCTCTGACTTCATCTGAACTAACCTCCTCCCTCTGCCCCACCTTCTTCATGTTTCTCCAGTCACTCAGACCCCTGGCTATTCCTCAAACACCCCCAGCTTTTGCTCTTACTCTCTGGAGAATTTACTAAGAGAGCTACAAAGAAATAAAGTTATGTGTTTTAAGAAGAAGTGCCCTCATATGAATAGAATTTGGAACATTTAGTGCCACCTCTGCTTGTTCGAACAGAGGCAGCCAAATCTATTTGACATTTTCTCTCTATGTACGTTGCAGAAAAGTCTAATAATTCTCAAAAAACTGTGTTGATTCAGTAATACATCCTAATTAGTATAGCAGACATTGCTTTAATTCGTAAATCTAGTCATTTGGCAACAAATCCATTTTTTACAACTTTTAAAATTTCATTATTAATTGTGAATTAATTAATTACATATCACATAACATTTACCATCTTGATTATTTTAAATATACAGTTCAGGAGCACTAAGTACATTCACATTGCTGTGTAACTACCACCACCATCCATCTCCAGAACATCTTTCATCTTTCCAGATAGAAACTTCAGACCCATAAAACAGTAATTCCCATTCCCTCCTCACTCTAGCCCCTGGCAACCATCATTTTACTTTCTGTCTTTGTAAATTTGTCTATTCTAGTTCCTCATATAAATGGAATCCTACAGTATTTGTCCTTTGTGACTGGCTTATTTCACTTAGCATAATGTCCTCAAGGATTATCCATGCTGATGATGTGTCAGAATTCCCTCCTTTGAAAGACTGGATAATAGTTTGTTGTATGTATAGACCACATTTTGTTTATCCACTCACCAGTCAGTGGACACTTGGGTTGCCTCCACATTTTGGCTGGATATGAATAAGACTTCAGGAAGGGAAAAGTTAATAGCTTGGAAAGTTTTGACAAGACGTTTCAATATTTAAGAAATTTTAACTCAAGTTTTCCACCAAAACTAGCATATTTTAAGACTATGAGCATGGGTATATAAATATCTCTTCAATTATGTGGGATACATATGCAGAGGTAGAATTGCTAGATAATTATGATTATGGTAATCCTATTTTTAATTTTTGAGAAACTATCGTGCTGTTTTCCACAGAAGCTGGCATGTTACTTTCTTACCAACAGTGCACAAGGGTTCCAATTTCTCTACATCTTTGCCAACACTTGTTACATTCTGGCTTTTTTAATAGCAGCCATCCTAATTGGTGTGAGGTAGTGGTAACAAATCAATTTTTATAGCACAAAAAGTTTGCAAATTGATCATCTTTGCCATTACCTAAATACCCCAGCTGACCATGTCTCTGCAGAAAGCAGAACAAAATTCGTGTTTTGCAAAGATTAGATATTTTAGCACTTAGCTGAATGTTCCATTTCCTCACATGTAAAGCAGCATAACTATTTTTTAAATTAATAGGAAAACCATCTAGAGTAAAATGCTAAGGACAAGTAAAAGGGAAGTGGAAAGGATGATGAAAAAATAAACTTAGACATCTTTAGGTGGCTTGAGACTGATGAAAACCTTAATTAAAATTCTAAAGCTCCAAACATTTTGGATTTTTTTGATGGGGAAAGGATGAAAATTTAGTAATTTTATATCATGTGTTTTTTCTTTTGCATTTTTCTTTTGCAACAACTTTATTTAGTACTGTTACTCAATTGTGATAATTTCAATGTTCCTGCTATTTTGAGGATTATTGTTAATATTTTAGTGGATAGTTATTTTCCTTTAAACTTGAATTGTCAAAAATGTTGCATACTTGAGAGTGATCTTATTACATTCTAGGATCAGCCTTTTTTTCCCCAGAGTAATAGTCAATAATTGTATAATGCTAGTCAACAGAAAAACAGGATTCACTTAAGAGAATTTGTTTTTCAGTTAGCTTTGCAGGGACACACTTATTCCACTGAGAATAAGATACCTGCACTGACATCCACTCAGAGAAGTAATAACTTGCCAAATCCTACTTATCAACGTGTATCCTTTTCTCAATTAATTCAAGATTTCCAGTTTGTTTACTTTCATCTCCAAAATAGCAACAACTTCCTTTAATATTTCAGACAGTCTGGCATTTAAGTAACTGATTGATGAATGTTCAATTGCACTCAGAAGGCAACAGCCGTTCTCATCATCTGTAATTCATTAGCATATAATGGAAATGTCATGCCAATCAAATTAAAGTTGCATGTGATAAGAGCTCTTTGTTATTGATTGAAATTTTCTTCTCAGCAACTGTTGTAACTGCATTTGATAGAAATAGGTTCTCTGCCTGTATCCAAGTTGTTTTTATTCTTTTTCCCTCCTCTAGGATGTCACATTCTCTTTCTGTGCCTAGGCAGCAACGAGCATCCTTTCTCCACCAGTCTTGCTTTCAGCTGCCATGTTTTTGTTTTTCCCCTCTTCATCTCTTTGCATTGTTCATTGCTGGGCTACAGCAAAATACTGGAATGCGTAGCATATTGCAACAGAAGGAGAAGAACATATCTTCACAGAATTTATGTTGTATACCTTTAAAACTTTCTGCTTTAAGAAACTGCCATACCAAAATAAAGCTATTTGCATACACACTAACCACTCTTTAACCTATGGCATGATGCCACTACATAGAAGATCATCACCAAAAATCCATGTCCGTGTTTTCAGAAAGAAATAAAAATATGATTTATATACATTTTTTGTTGTGCTTTTTTATACAAGGGTTAAGTAACAAAATAAAACATGTCACATTTTGTTTATTCTTTTAGGCCTCACAGCCGAGGATGTCTTTAGTCTGCAAACATTTAAAATTTTTAACTTCAACATTTCACCACAGAAGACATCTGAAGGTTATCCTCTTCCCTTTACTCTAATAAATTCTGTAACTCAGAGCTTGATGAAAGCACTTATTTCTTGACTCTAACAATGTAAAAAAAGAAAATTTTAAATTGAAGTCATTTAGAATTCCTCAGTAGTTAAAATGTTTTTCATAGACACAATCAAACCTTCTTTAAAGTTGCAATTAATTCTTAGTTAGGGGAAAAATACCATATGGAATAAAATTCTCTTTGGAAATCACGTGTTTGCATTCCTGCTGTATGATTATTCTTACCACACCAGAAACTTCTTAATTAATTGCACTCTTCAAGGCTACACTAAAACAGATGTAAATAAGTGCTTTTTATAACCATTAACTTTCACAACAGGCTTTTCCTCAAGAACTGTATGTTTGAATCGTCGAGTGGCAGTTTGAGGGTGTGGGCTGCTGAAGGCTGGCACCCTCTCATTTACATAGGCAGTTTATTATTCTAAATCCAACAAATGGGCAGAAAGACATTTCCAAATGCAAAGGCTCAAGAGTTGCCCGTGTTTAAAAACAAATTGGACTTAGTCTGTTGACTTTTGAGTGGTGATTATACAATTAGTGCTGTGAGTTGGGGGAAACCCGCCCCAGTGCTAACTTGGTTTTATTTGTTTGTTTTTAAGTTGGCAAGAAAGCAAGACTGCTGAGAGCTTAAACCAATGAAAAATGCGACAGTGAGAGAAATTAGAATAGTAAGAACTAATAAAAACAAAATACGAACAAGGTCTTGTAAGGAGTCCAAAAGAAGTCGACCTGGCCTGATGCCAATCGTCACTGATTTCAGGGATGGAATTCGTTAAGGAAGGAGCGTGTCGTGTCTTCTAGGAACTGCAGCGTGCAGCACGGTGGAAAAGAAGGGAGTGAGCCGGTCCGCGTACACTCTAATAGCAGAGTATTAATTTCAACTAGTCTTGTTAACATACTTTTTTGTTGTTGTTTTTGAGATTGCTTGGGGAAAAAAAGTAGCAAAAAATGTTACAACTACACAAATCTATTGTGCCCAACTCTAGTAGACACGTTTGCCTCTTTGCATTAGGATTTTCGTCATAAATTGGCTTTTAAATTAGAAGATTACCCTCTGATCTGAGTGAATCTGAATGAATCTTTGAGGGGAAACTTCTTCAATTAAGCCAGGGAGATTCTCCCAAAACAAGAAAAAGAAGTTTTCATTTCAGGGTAACAGGTGATCGCATCCAAATCAAACTCGAAGCATGTGCTCTTGTGATAAATCCAGGTAAATTTCATTCCAGAGATGAGATTCTCTCATGCGAAAAGGAAGAATAGCAAAGTGCAAACCATCACGCACCAACGAGAGCTACCTCATAAAGTTTAATCTGTGACAATTCATCCATAATTCCTCTCACAGACTTAAGTAGCATGTGTTTTCAGAAGAGAGGACCCCATCATGATCTCACATGAGCCATCTGATTGTGATTTCTGAGGCCTTTTCAGCTTTGCAATCAAACAGTAATATCAATAATAACAGCTACCGATTATTAAGTGCCAAACACTGTGTACTTTACTAATCATCCCTGTGTACTTTTATAATCATCCCTAATTCCCAAAATAATTCTGTAATCTGGGTATTATCTCCATTTTTACAAATAAAACTTGGCGTCAGAGAGGTTAAGTAACATGTCCAAAGTCACAAAGCTGGTCAGTGGAGAGCCAGGATCCAAAGTCAGAGCTGCTGCACCCCAAAGCCTAAGCTCTTTTTATTACCCCCTGCTTTGAAAAGACACCCTCATTCCATTCCCTAGATAACAAGAGCAAACCCAGTATGTCTCCCGTGTACCTACCATCATACCCTCTCAACATCCTTTCCCAAATTTCTATTTTGCAAAGATTTCTTGTTTTTCCTTAAGTAAGGCTGAAAGACAGCCTTTCTCTTTATTTACAGCTACCCATAAAATAAGATTAATCAGCTTCACAGAATTTATAACTCTGATTTAAGAGATGGGGCCAAAGTCCAAATACAGATGTGGAAATGATTATTCTTACACCTATTATATATAAGGAGAGCTCTGCATGATCACACAAAGTGAAGTTTCTGTCTGTCTCTGTGACTTAAGCCATCCCATCTTTTATGTATGTCTTCCCAGTTTACAACCACAATTCCTGGTTTTAAGGCATGTTTGTTACACATACACACACACACACACACACACACACACACACACACACTCTTCCTAAGTTTATCTACTGGTCTTTTTTCCTTCCAAATGTATGACACTGGAGGATTTAGAATATCTGTGATGCTCAATAACTATTTATTATCATTAATTAGCCAATTGCCTCAAGAAAGCCTAATGAAAAGGAAAAGAGTTTGGTTTAAGAAAACATATGATTAGACCTCCCTGAGGACATCCCCTTTCTCATCAGAGAATTTGCCATTTGGATTCACTGAGTAACTAACTGCCTTCTCATAGCTATGATTCCTTTATCCAAACCGATCTCTACGTAAAGGATCAAGACAATTATGAGAAATTAGTATAAATTAGAATTAAACTGAAATTCCCCACATTGTATCAAATTGAAACCTTGTTACTTAATCTTTACATTGTCTTCCTTGGGGGTTTTCTCCTTCCTTCATTGTTTAGGCAGTAATTTCTCTCAGGCCTTTTAGTTAGCCACCTTCAGCTTACTCAGGAAAGTGAGGGCTGTTAAGAGCTGTTCTGGTGTCCTGGGATTTGTATGTAGAAGATTCTCTTTCACTATTTGATAGCCTCAGAGCTGAAACGGCTGTTATGCACCACTCATCACCAACAGTGTCAGAAGTTGTATCAGCATCTTCAAAAAGAAAGTCAGTACAGTTTCAGTTAAAAATAGCCATATTCTAAGCTTACCTATGTTCCCTGCACTACTTTTTTTAAGTTGAAATGAAAATACCTTTGAACCTGTCTTCGACATGTTCAATAATTTCTATCAGGTGTAAAACACCTTTGTTTTATTTCCAGAATCCAGCAGCTCCCTAGCATCAGTCAAACCTAAAAAGTCTTAAGGTTTGACTTGGCTAGTATCCCAAAACGTTATTCTAGTCTCCAACAGACATTTCATTAAGAGAATATGTATCAAGTCACATTTATTTTAGTTCAGTGGCTATTTCATTTACTTAAAATCATAGTTTTCCCACTTATGTAATAAAGGGCAGCAGAAGAAAAATGCCAACACAGAATAATTATAGTTAGAATAATTATAGTTAATATAAAGATAGTTTTCTGGCATGAATTTTATATGATGCTCGTGCCTTTTCTAGATCTAATAGTGGAGGGTGGATAGGGAGATTAGACAGATACTTCTGATATGTTCTTTAGGCTATAAAAATTACATATAGGGCCACTGTGAATTGGCTTGATTTTCAAAGATCTAAAGAACAGAGGAAGAAGTGATGACGGCCTTTTGTTTATAGAAGCAAACTTCTAGTACTAAATGACTGTATAGGGGGTAGAGCAAAGTATGGTTTTAATTCTTTCCTGGATCAAACCCTCAATAAAATGACATAGCTCAATCAGCCTGCCAGCACATTCTTCTGCTCAGATAGTCCACCAAGTCTGGATCAGAGAAGGCTTTGACTCTAGACTTCTAAACAAGCTGATGTAGATGAAATGTATCAAGTGTCTTATATAAATTAACCTGATCATGATATGACTATAAGAAATCACCTAGAATATCTTTTGTTCTAATTTTTCTTTCCCACTTTCTTAGTTTTACATAGTTTATTTCAAAGAAACATGTGAGATGACTCTGTAGTTTTGCACACTGAGCACTGAACACTGAAGGGCTCTCACTTATTTGTATATCGCACAAACGTAAAATTAATTTCAACTCCTTGGGAAATTTTACATTGATTTACAAGAAATAGAGTATTATTCGGAACTGTTTATAAATTCTATTTATAATTATCCTATTGAACTAACAGACCTCAGCAAACAAATCATGCCATCATCACTGACGACTTCAAGAGTGAGCATTTCAAGTGGATTTGGATTAAGTTGTTAATGAGAACTAGGGCACAGGCTCAGTTCACTGGATTTTCACTTCTTGAGACATGGAATCATGTACTGAATAAATCAAGTGCAACTGGCTTCACCTTAGCCTCAATGACCAGCACCATAAAGTCACTGTGTGTTTAACACCATCAGCAGGCTCCAACCCTGAAGCCTAGGAGCCCCGAGTAGAAGGAGGGCTACCAGCCAGCTTTGAAGGGCATCCATATGAAAAGAATTCAGGATGCAAAGAAGGCATCAGGAGACAGAAGATCTAGTCATATTTTTGGGCCAGACTTACTGGGCCGGTTACCACCCGTCTCAACATTGTCTCTCTCAGGAGAAAGAGTCTATGGTATTTTCTGCTATTCCTACAGGGCCTTATTAGAATTTACAGATTGTAGGAAGGGCACTAATATGACACAGACAGGTAGCTTCTGTCTTCCTGACATTTATAATTCCAGAGGACTAGGCAAAAACATCAGAACTCTCTCAAAACCCCCCAAAAAAGAAAGAATGAGACAGCTCATCTAACAACCCCACCACAGTGAAATACAGTCAGGCAGCATAACTTGCTCAAGTTCTTCCTCAAAGCGGGCCCAAGTCAGAATAAAACATGGTTATCATTTAAGAACAATAATATTTGAAGGTTAAAAAAAGAAACCCTTGTACCCAACTGACTTTTCATCCACTTGACATCATTACTATGATCAAACATGCTTATTAAAAATAAATGAAATAAAATGATAAAACTTGTAAAGGGCTCAGTGCCTAGCACATAATAAGCACTCAGTAAAGGTTGGCTCTTAGGTCTTATCAGTAAGAAGATCAGAGTGAGTACTGTAATAGAAGGCTAGGGTTTTAGGCAAAGAAAGGGCATACACATTTTCAACACGTGTAAAATTAAATTATAGCACAATTGGACCAAATTGAGAACCTCCTGTAGAAGTATGGAGTCCTGAAAATACCTTTACAGCATAACAGGGACTTGTTGGGACTTTATAAGAAAGGATTAGGAACATTTGTTTATTTTTTAAAAGACTGCCCTATGGGAACCTAGAGTAAGATACGAGGCTTACAGACTTGGGCTGATCCTCCCCAAATTTGGGGGTTGTTTAATGTAAGTCATCTGGGGTTTTAAGCTGGCTATTCCGGACTATCCCCTTAACTAAAACAAGACGGCCCCCTACCTTCGCTGAGAGATCTCAGAATCCCCGAAGTCTGGCAGCCTCCACTAAGCCAGCTGCTGTTTGCAGGAGTCTGATGATCTGGGACTTCCCAGGTGTCAGAAGCAAACAATAGATCACAGCTGGCATTAATTGGCAGCACCCTGGTTGGCAGTCTCAGCAGAGAGAGGCCAAACACTGAACAGGCCACAGAGAGAGGACTCCCCTCACTCAGCTAATATTAATTGAAATGTCTTCATGGAATGCTGTTTTGCACATTGCAATGAAAACAGTTTGTTTTTAGGATTTAAACATCCCTTCGCTGTGTTTGCAATCTGAACACTACAGCATGTGTTAAAACATAAGATCCAGGGAGGCAAACTGACTATAAACAGAGTAGTTTAGGAGCTGGGGGGTGGGGAAGCTGTGTCTTTCTTTTGCAATTTTCAAGCTCAGTGAAGTGCACAGGAGTGATAATCCAGCACAAGCAAGAGAAAAGAAAGAGATATTTAAACTTCAGAAGATGATTTTTTTTTTTTTTTTTTTTTACTGGGTGTGTTGTTGGTAAGAACCCTGGAAAAGAAAAATGATTTAAATCCATGACTTTCCCCCCTGATACTGCCCTTTTAAAATCCTAGGCCACCATGCTAAATATTATCCTGGCTATCTGGGGCAATAGTCTCAATCCATCCAGTTAAAAGATACCAAGGAATGTGGTTCGCGGCCAGTAGTATAGATTAGTATGCTAATGTTGTTCTAAGGGTAGCATTGTTAAATAAGCCTGAGATATCCCTGGAATCAAACTGAGCACACTATGCCAACCCATGTGTATCATTTAGGATTATACACAGACTGTTAAGAATACAGAACAATTGCTTCACATTTCTCTGTGTTGGTGTCATCTCCCTTTCATATCTGGGAACAACACCCATATCTCGTCTTCAGCTACTGACATTTGTCATAAATTTCAACTGACCTTTTGCCAGAAGAGCTTCAGTATGATTTTCTTTTTATCTTTACACAGTCTTCAGCTTGTCATGATTCATTCCGGAAGTATTTGGGGCCCAGCACTGTGCTCAATGTTATAGGAGATGAACAAAAAGGAGGAAAATCAGTTCCTACTTGGGGAGTTGAAACACATATTTATGACATAACTAGACAATCTGGAAGACAATGACAACTTGTTGATATGAACTGAATATATCAGGGTCAAAGAGGTTAGAAATAAGGCAAAGATATTTATGCATTTGGTTTATCCATCAAAGTTTTCATGGAGAATGTAAGTTTGGAGCTCTGTTAAGAAGAAAATACAGAATTTGGATAAAGAAATGTATTCTAGATTTTTTTAAAAAGCAGAAAGGAAAAAATGATAAATAAGAAGGCCATGAGAAGAGAAACAAAAAAAGGGTACTGCCAGCTCTTTTATATAACGAAGAAGAGCTGAAGCTGTGGTTATACTGGTCCATCCCCCAAGTTTTAGACTATTCCAGATTTTATACATAGATATGTTGACACAAAACAGTTAAATAATTCTCCAAAAAGTATGAATCCAGCCAGTGCTAATAAGTCATAATAATAAAATTGAAAAGATAATAAAAGCTAGCCCTGGAGTAGTATTCACTGAAGTCCTGGTCCTGCTTGAAATGTTTGCTTAAAATGATTTAAATCTTTTCCTTTTCCTCCAGATCCTGAAGTAGGAACACTTCTCCAGTTTGTTTTTAGCACCTTTAAATCATTGTTTTCTCAGTGGGTGTAAATACCTCTTTAGTCCTCCTTACTCAGCTGTGTACCTTTCTTCATTTCCCCTCTCCTATTTTTCTCCCGCTTTTCCCTTTCCCACTCATAGTCAAAGGATGAGTGGATAATACACCCATATATTCAGAACGTTTTTTATATCTCAAAGCAATCCTGCTTCGAATTTGCCATGTAAACATAAGCCTGCTAATATCTTGGACTCAGTTTACACAACTATAACACCTAACAGTCAGCGTGCTGTGAGGAACAAATTTTATATAACAAAACATTTTACTCAATTTCAATGGACAGAATGTCATGCAAAGAATGAAATCATTACCTTAAAAATATAAGCAAGTGCCTTCGTTGCCATACACATAACTTAATGTAGGAATGCAATTTATATCTTAGATTGAAAAAAAAGTCCCATTTAACTTCCAGGACAAAAGAAACTTTGTTCACTTCTTATCCCAAGAAAAACTATATTATTTAGGACAACCCATTGTCTAGCCAATCATTCCCCTGTGATAATCCTTCCCACCTACTGAGTATCAGTCACAAGGGTGAGGGAATTTAAGAAGAGTTTTAAAGTTAGGAGTGCTAATGCAAATTATACTAATAAATTTAAATGCAATCTCTGGAGAATCAACTTACCATTATAAATAGTTGATTCATTTATCACAGTTACAATATCTAGTGGTAGAAATAAACTCACACATCACTCTCTATTAAGGTGCTTAGAACCTATCAATCCAGTTGTTTACAAATGGGATTCATAAGGAAAGGATTCATTTATTACACTTGGAAAATGTTTTGTAATCTCTTGAAGAAAAGACAGACATGCAAAGATTCTACATTTTCATAGGTAACATGTTCTCCTGGATTTAAATACTGCAATGAGAAAATAGGAAAGCCCGAATTTGTTTTCACTCTATCTACAACCCTGATAAGCTACTAATGTGAACTTGAACAGGTTCTTAAGCATTCAGAGCTCATTACTTATGACCTAATAAACAAAAAGGTGTGAAAACCAGAGTAAAAATTAAAGCTTCAAGTCAACCTGAGAGATTTTGCTCTGGAATAGATCAGATTAAGGCAAGCTCTCACCAAACAAAGATAATGCAGAAAGAAAATCATACAATTATAGAATTTTAAAGCCAGAAACAACCTCAAAGCACATAGATTCCCCCCTGCTCATTGTGCAGATGATGGACATGAAATCTGGAAAGAATAAATAAGGCACCTAAGGCCTTGCAGCTAAGTTGTGCAGCCATGAAAAGAACCTGGGAACTGAAACACATGAGTACGTGCACACACACACACACACACACACACATGTTTAGAAAGAATAATTTCATATATAATAGTTGTGCAACAAGAAAGTTACTGGCAAAAAAAAATAAACTATATTGAAGCCTTTTTTGCTCTTGATTTCTCTTTTCTAAATGTGTTACTGCAAAAGTGGTTCCAGACCCAAGGCAAGACAAATAAGGCTTGTACCAAATGGTATGTGTGTCCCCTGCACTCATGCTGGTTATGAAGAAGCAAAAGAAAAGATTAAAGACAGAAGCTAAAAAAGAAAAAAGAAAATCATCACTACTAATACAGTCACCCAGCCCACAGGCAAAATCATATCAACAGGACTTTCCTGTATTGTAGATTAAATGTATTCCCTAATGTACTAGTTTTATCTGGTAAAAATTAATAGTTAGATGATAGACATGAAATAAGCAACACCTATACTTGTTGCAATTATTCAATATGTTGCTGCTATAATTTATATTTCCATACTCTCCTTCATAATTAATATTATCTGTATTTTGAGCTCTTAGTAAAGAAAAGATTCTGGGCCAGCCTAAAGCTCTATATTTATCTGGAAACACTGGCACTTCCCTATCAGTCCACCATGTTTGCTAGTCTCTTATGTCCTAAAATAAGCAATCTCCCTATTCTTTTTGCCTCTTTCTCCTCTTCTATCTTTTCCTAACCAATCCCTTAGAGAAGTAATCTAGATTCGCAATCTCCACTTTTTCTTGTTTATTCTTCCACCTCCTGCAGTGTCACTTTCACGTCACTCTTCAATAGCTGTCTATTGAATCTGTTTCACAATAATCCCCGGATCACCAAATCCAAAGGCCTCTTCTCAATTCTTATTCTCCTGGGTAGTGTTTGATACCCAACCACCTTCTTTGGGGAACTCAGCCTTTTTGTGCTGTCTTGATGCCACTTTCTCCCAATCTTTATGAACACTTAATGGATCCTCCTTCACCACTTGCCCTCCACTTAGTCAATAATAATCTCATCTACTCGCCAGGTTTCATTTACACCTGTGGTTCTCAATGGGGGATGATTTTGCCACCAAAAGACATTAGGCAATGTCTGAAGACATTTTTGGTTGTCATCACTGCAGAGGGTATTGGCTGCTGGCATCTAGTGGATAGAGAGCTGGAATGCCAATAAATAGCTTAAAATGCACAAAATATCCCTCTAAAATGAAGAATTAGCAGACCCAAAATGTCAACAGAGGATGAGAAATGGTCTACATCTACCTGTTTATATATGTGGCTATATAGTTATCCACAACCTACATCTCTCAACTAAGCTCTAGACCTGTTTTTAATGCACTCCCCATACATGTCCAGTAATTACCATTATTTGCCTCCAAGCCTTCTCTTTTTATAGTCCCTCTCCCAAGTAGTTTTCATTCACTCTGAGCTCAAGTTAGAAACCTTGGAATCATTTTCTGTTCCCTTTCGATCACCACACACAACCTCTGTGTCACCATGTTCTATTTTATTTTATAATCCCAAAACCTCCTGCATGATGTGGTTAACTTCAGCCTCTCCCCATTCCATTTCATTGTTTAAATTACAGCAGTCATCATTCTATAACCAAAGTTTCTCCTGTCCCTCTTTTACTGAAATATTGTCAGTGGCACTCACTGCCCAGAGAAAGAATTCTTAACCTGGATTCCAGGATTTGGGGGAGAAAATGGAAAGGGATCAGAGGGAATTTCCATCTACCACCTAGAATTATGTTTAAAATTCAACATGCGGTACATGTTCTGGAAAAACTATCAGCTTCATTAGATTCTCTATGACAGTGACTCTCAAACTTTAGCATACATGAAAACCTCCTGGAGAGCTTTTTAAAACACAGATTGCTGGACCCCATCATAGTTTCAAATTCACTAGGTCTGAATTTTGGTCTGGGAATTGGCATTTTTACCAAGTTCTTGGCTGATACTAATGCTGCTGATCATGGGACCACACTCTGAGAAGCACTATTTTACACTGAAAGCATCTGGAGATTTTTAAATTATTGAGTCCTGGATCTCATTCCCAGAGGCTCTATGGGATGTGGCCTAGGTTTCTGAACGATTTTTTAAATCTCCGTAGGTGATTCTAATACGCAATGAATTTTGCAAACCACTGCCCTAAGAGGTCCATGACCCAAAATAGGTAAGGAGCCTAGAGGACAGAGGAAAAAAATGCTGAGGATAGAACCTCCTCATCTGGCCTCCACCTACCTTCCAGGTCCCCATGCTACCTACTCCTCTCTCACTCCCTTCATCGCCTCACACTTGACTCTCTACATGTCCACACCGGTTAGAATCTCACACTGTGAATGCTCCTGCCACTGCATTTATTCACAGGCTTCCCTCTACCAGGAATTACATTCCCCAAACTTTCTGGAAAATTTTACTCATTCTTCAAAACTACCTTAAATATTACCTGTTCTAATTTTCTCTGATCAAAATCAAAACCCAAGTACCACCAAGGCAGAATTACTACTCCCTAGTTAGTTTATGTTCCCACAGCATTTCATTAATACTTCTGTTTTTTCACATCATATAAAAAGTAGCTGTTTACATTGCTACATCTCATTAGACTGTGAGAACCTGGAGGGCTTGCTAGTATCTGGGGCCTCAAGTAGAACCTGACACAGAGCAGGCAGTCAGTGTGATGCACTAGTTCATTCATTCATCCACCCAAGCAGGCAAAGGGAAGTCTTTGCCTAAACTTTTTCTATTTTATGACTTTTCTGTATTTTAAAAAGCAAATAAATTCTTAGTGAAAATTCTCTGAATGAGCTGGAGTCTTCTGAATGTTTATGAAAGTCAGAAAGGGAGTCGTACATGCAAGACAGAACTCAACAGCTTTATTTACTTAACTATCATAACTGAATATTTAATTTAACATATTCAAATACTTAAAAATTATCATTGGTAAGCCTGCAAATAACTACTTAAAAGAGTGTGTGTGGTGGGGGAAATGACGATAAAAATGTTAAGTTAGAAAAGTACTGATCTGTTTCTCTGGGTCTAATTATTGTCCTGTGTAATTCAATGGGAATTCTCACAGTGAATTACATAGACGTGAATCCAGCCCAGATGTGCTCCTCAACTCTTCTCAGCTTGGTTTCTGATACACTTTTTAAAATGATTTCTCTTCCCTACCCTTCTAGAAGAATCACAGATAAATAAGTTGCATTCTATACTTTAAGCCATCAAAAAATATACTGTAGAGTATAAATCAAGTTTCTATAATTTTGTGGTTCAAAAGGATGAATGGTGGGGATTATCATAATCTTAAATTTCTACAAAACTCTAGCAAAGATACTAACTGGTGTGATTTTTTTCTTTTTTGTATCATACTGCACATTTGTGAATCCACCAAGAAGCATTTTTAAAGAGTAACAAAGCCCTGAGTGACTTTGATGGAATGTGACACATTCTGTAGTCACTTTCTTTGTCATAGTCACAACTGAAAGCCACAAATTTCTTAGAATTTTCGGTAGTTGGACTACCATTACTTTTCATTGTAAAATTGTTAGGAAGAAAGAATTTGTCATTTTCCTGACTCTACAAATATTTATTATATTGAACAATATGCGTTTTTGAAAAAAAACCATTAAAAATCTACAGAAGATTTAAAACTATGTGATTTAGTCATCATCTGGAATAGTTTGTTTTTTCTCAGAAATTCCATCAAAGGACCAACACTATACATTCTGCCTTTTCATTTCCCACGTTCCTTAAGTATAAGAATTAAGCAATTCTCATTTGACAGAGAAAAGTTTAAAGCACAACTTTTTTCTAGGTTTCAAAATAGGAGTCTATTTTTCAGTTTATACTTCTTCACCGCATGAAGGTATTTTATTTTTACCTGTTTACTTGTTAGAGATAACAGGACACAAATTATCAAACAGCATTTTTATGAAAACTTTTCATGTGCGTGTGTGTGTGTGTATTCTCAAGAATTGTCAATTTGGGTTGGTAGTATCATCAGTTTATAAGAATAACTCAATGCAACTATAGATAAATGGTAACATAATTTTTATGCGAGTGCCTCCAAGGCAGCTTCGTACAATATCTTTTTCTTTGCTACTGACAACCTAAATGAACCTTCAGTGAGAATGAGTCTTCTCTGACAGTTTTCCTGAATTGCGAAAGTCCATCGGCTAAATCTATGACCTGCAGTTAAAACATCATTAATCAGACTTAAAAATAACCACCAAAATTTACTGTGCCCTTTTTTCTCCATGTCCTTAACTCCTCCTCATCACCCCAAGGCAACATGAGGAATAAATCTAATTATTTAATTTAACAAATTAAATTACCTCACTGGAAAGTTGCTATGCCACTGTCCTCAGGCACCCTGTCTACCAAGACACCGCATACATATAGGTGAAATGTTTTCAAGTGAGATTCTTCTCTAGTATTAACTCTAAATAAATTTTGTTGGACAAGGTCCAAAATGAACTTAGCTTACCCTGAATTCCTGGCAAAATAATTTAGCTAATTTTGTAGCAGGGATTCCACACACTGGCACAATTCTCAGTGAGTAAGTGGGTGGGCAGTGTGATGTGTTCTTTCAAGTTAAAAATAAATTTTAGTTAGAAAGAGGGTTCGAATTATATTGCTTATCTATGACAGCTCTATAGATAAAAGATTCCTCCTCTGGGATGACATTTGAATACTAAACAAACCCACTCAGGAATAATTTAGTGTTATAACTATAATTAGTGATCCACATTTAAATTCAAGAATTATATAGACTTCCTCCTAAAATTGTAGGTGGAACATCATGTTAACATTTTCTTGGCTTTGGGAAATCTAAATCTAAACTTAGTTTAGTGACTGAAATATTTTCAAGCAGTCAAAAATTATCCATTTCATACTGCATAATAATTTCAAGTGAAAAATCTTAATGTACTATAGAATATTTTAAATACTTTTTATTCAACATTATGGCCCTAGTTGGTTCTTGCAAATTATTTTGATAACCAGTAAAATGTTCGTATGAAATTCATTACTGCCAAAATCAAAATCTTCAAAATACATTTCAAGGAAAAATAAATCTGAATAATTAAGGCAGCCCTTCAATTGCTTTCTCCCAATAGAAAATTTTGACTATGAGAGACCAGGATATTGGAATGCTGGAGGAGAAAAGGAAAAATACATCACAATAATGGATACCTAGGGGTGTTTCTATTAGGTATAACAAAGATATTCTGTGGACCAGGAGTCAATGATGAGAGAATTTATAACTCTGTAGGAAGCAGGGCCAAGATGGCAACACCTAATAATGAAACATATTTGCAGGTATTTATAATATTCACCAATTGGCTAAAGTCCAACTAAGTTCATTGAATGGCTATGTTGACATTTTTTATAATGATGACTATGAAACCCCTTAAAATTGTTTTATTAAACCTGGAAAAGTAATAAATTTGGCTTTGTTTAATCTTTTTTTTTAACTCTGAAAGTTGGTTTTTCTATAGTATTGAATATCATAGTAACATAGAGGACTAGAATTCCAACATATTAACTAATGTGCTTTCTCTTCAGTGATTCCTTCTTAACCTGTGTCTCTTCCCTATCAAAGACTTTGAGATGTCTCTTGCTTTAGGGTAGGGTTGATACTTTAGTGAAGAGAACAAAAGAATTAAATCCTTGCCTTTGGATTACCAAAGGCTGATATCCAGGCATAGGACAAAAAGATCTTTAATGGTAAGTTTCTCAGAACCAGTTTTTCCTACCCAGCCATCCCCAGACAGAGCTGAAGTTTGCCACTGGGACGGAAAGAAGAGGAGCATGCAAAAGGTAAAAACGGGGTTTGAGATGCTCTGGGTGTCTGAACAAGAGGATGGTTGATAAGACTGGAGCCTCCAGATAACTTTAGTGGATCTGAGAAGGGAGAGATACCATGGGCGGAGGTCAGAGAGGCGGTAAGCCTCACAGAATATCCCCAGACACCAGCCTGCCACAGGGAACACTGTAATAAAGATGGCTGCATGGAAATTCTGGGCAATAGGGGTCTGAGATAACTGCAGAAAGTTCCCCATAGTCCCACCCATAAAGATTCAGAAGAATAGAGAAATATGTCCTGCGCAAGGGAAGGGGTTCAGAAGTAGCTGAGAGAATGAGAGCTGAGAGTATCTGAGAGAATGAAGACTATTCAGGGCTTGGAAAGAGATCTAAGTAGATCAACAACCAGAAACCTTATGAAATATGGGGATTTCAGTGGATACCAATAGGAAGAGATGACAGCCACCATGACCTGACACCCTGTAAACCTCCTAATTAGCAGGTTCAACCAGGGAATGCAGGTAGAGATCCTTCATAGTGAAGTATAATGCATGTGGTGCCAAGAGCTTCAGTTAAGATATTGTGACTCTACACTATTAAGCCTATATTAAATCTAACAAAAGAACATTCACACCAACATTTGAATTTAGTTATTTCTGATTCCGAAATCTAAGCCATACACTTTATTAGAGTAATAATGAGTCATTAACATATTATTCAATAAATAATATGGTGACAACTGCTTCATCATTTTGAAAAGGAAATGACTCCTTATGCCAAAATAAATTCCAGATGGATCTGAAATTTTGAATTACAAAATGAAACCATAAATGTATCAAAAGAAAACATGGGGAAATATTTCTTTAATTTTGTAATATGAAAGGCCTTCCTAAACATGACACAAAACCAAGGAACTATTAAGAAAAATGCCAAAAAATAGAAAGTTAAAAGATCAATAACAAAAAAGAAAAGGTTGGCATCATATTTTGACAGTTGAGAGCTAATTTTCTAATTTATACAATGCTTGTACAAATTAGTAAGAAAAGGACCAGAAAAAAGATAATAAAAAACTGATCAATTAATGTAAATAAGCAATTCAAAGAAATGAAAATAAAATGACAAGTAATCAGCAAAAGGTATCAATCTGAATCAAAAGTAAAAAAAATTCAAATCACATATAAGTTTTCACCTTACAGATTGGTAAAATTTAGTAATGATCAAAATCAACAATGAATAAACATTCTTTGACTCAGCGATTCCATTGTTAGAAATTGAGCCTACTGAACAGATAATATTCCCACTGACTAGAATGTTCTTTACAGAATTATTTATAATAAAAATAATCAGGAAAATAATCCAAAGACTTATTGATAAGACTAAAATACAATATTTTGTGATACTGTCATAAAAAAAGACATTGTACAATCATAAAAAAACAGTATATTTCTAGGGACTCAAACAGATGGTCACTTAGCCTTCTGATTAAGTGAAAGAGCCAGGTATATATCAGTATTTATAATACAACCCCATTTGTGAAGACTTGGAATGCACACACACACACACACACACACACACACACACACACACAGATGTATGATATCCATGCTAAATTTTCTATAAAAATTACTAAGAATCTAAGTGGTTACCCTTGAAGAGATCACTGGGGACAAGGAGTGGTGGCCTGAAGAAAAAGGTGAGTTTTAGTTCTCATATTAAACTTTCTGTACTCTTTATGCATATATTACTTTCATTTTGACTTGTTAAATAACTTTTTCTTTTGAAAAATCAAATACATTGGAGTTTTGTTTTTCTTGGTTTAAAATTAAAAACCACATTTCAGTAAGTAAGATGAACCTCTAGGGACCCAGACAGCTGCAGCTGCCAGCAAGAAAAGACTTTTGTCAGGCTTAACATATTTCTGAATTACTGCTTTCATTATTACAAATACCTGATTGCATAGGCCGGGTGCGGTAACTCACGCCTGTAATCCCAGCACTTTGGGAGGCCGAGGCGGGCGGATCATGAGGTCAGGAGATCAAGACCATCCTGGCTAACACGGTGAAACCCCGTCTCTACTAAAAATACAAAAAAATTAAATTAGCCGGGTGTGGTGGCGGGCGCCTGTAGTCCCAGCTACTCGGGAGGCTGAGGCAGGAGAATGGCGTGAACCCAGGAGGCGGAGCTTGCAGTGAGCCGAGATCGCACCACTGCACTCCAGACTGGTGACAGAGCGAGACTCCGTCTCAAAAAAAAAAAAAAAAAAAAACCTGATTGCATTTTCACATCCCAAATGACTTCCATGAACCCTAACTCAAAATAACTCAAACCCTAACCAAAAGTGAGTGGTCTGGGGGATTCACTACTTAATGGTTAGCCCCCAGTTAAGTCAATTGGTGAGAAAGTGTCTGTATATATTTCTAAGCCCCATTTCCCATTGTGATGGCAAAAGGGATATGGAGAATAACAAGAGCTATGGAAGATATGTCACCTGCATTTGGTCAGGCAAATCCATGATAACTGTACTCATTCATCCACAGCCATGAGGCCACATAACACAAGCCCTCCAGTCTCAGCTCTGACACCACTTTCTCAGAGAGGCATTCCCTGAGCACCTAAGAGGCCTCTCACCCTTACCCTCCTTATTCTCTACCCTGGCTGCTTTATTCTCTACCTGGTTTCTATCTTGGCTCTTATGAATTGCAGTTATTTTTTATTTGTTTATGAAATTGGTTTTGGTTTGTCATCCTCATTGGAATGTATGCTCTGTGACAGAAGGACCAAAGTAAACTTGTCTACCACTATGTTTCTAATGCTCACCTAGTAAAATCATGGCACGTAATTAATATTCAATAAACCTATGTAGTATAAATTAAAAATCATAGTTATGTGTGTGTGCATATATATAGAAAGAGAGAGAGAAAGAATATAATATTAACAATTGCTAGGTTTATTGAGTGTATACACTGTGTATAATATTCTAAGTACCTATGCATTATATTCATGCCATGTCCAAAACAACTTTATGAGATAAATTCTATTCTTATTCCTATTTTACGCATGAGGAAACCGAGACATAAAATGATTAAATAACTTGATCAAAGTCATACCCAACTAATGAGGAAAAAAGGAAATATATATATTATTAATAATATAATATGTAATAAAATTATATTGTGTATATAATACATATTAATATCAGCTACATATGTAATATGTAGAATTTTTATTTATATATAAAATACAAAGTAGAGATTTGCTATTTTAATTCCACATTCAAGGTTGATACAAAATCAGAAAGAAATGGAAATTCTATCCCCCAGAAAACATCAAAAGAATCACTAAATTAAAACACCCAATTCTACTTCTCCTTTGACATGGAAGGAGGAAGCACATTTCTGGTGACTAATGAGAAAGGATATCCTTCTCCCACCATTCTTTGGAAAAGTACATCATTTTTTTCCGAAAATCCTGTAAGTAGCTTCACTCTTTTGTGTGAATACAGAGGACTCCGTGAAGCCAAAAGCAACGGTGATACATTCCATTGTATGCAGTATAATTGTCACTTCACTATTTATATCTGGCATGAGGTTATATAGTGTAACCATTATCATCAGCAGAAGCAACAAAAATAATTCTGAAGCATAGTGCCCGGTGTTTTCAAAGACAGCATGAAAACTGATTCCCTTTACTTTATGGATTTTTCAATAAAAGAAGGTAGTATGGATGATAATACAAAAACACAGGATATTTTCTATGAAAGTTTAATAAGAATGAATTGAAACAAAAGGATGAAAGCAAAAGGAAGATTAATTTACCTTGACAAAAATATCCTACAATTCATTGCTGGATTCTCATTCCTAAAGTCTTTCTTTTGTCTTCAACACACATGGGCAAAGCTCTGTAAACTGATATGCAGCCTAAAACAGACACACTAATTATAACAGTGCATATGTGTTTCTTTCTGTTACCCAGTGGCTTCACTCACATCAGCCCTGAAAATCATGCTAGCCATCCCCATTTGTAAAAACAGTAGTTATTCACATGACTCTGTGAAATCAGATCTCCATTAAAGTGTATTTATGGATGTGAAACAACCAAAGAAACAAACTTTCAGCAGGAAACATGAACTACTATTAGAACTTTTTAATATTAGTGAGTGGAATATTATTGCCAATCAGTCAAAACCACCGTAGGCCAGTGATTTTCAATTGGGCACAATTTTGCCCCCGAGGAATACCTGTCAATACCTGCAGACAGTTTTTGTTATCACAACTTGGGGGTGAGGTGGGAATGCTACAGGCATCTAGTAGGCAGAGGCCAGGGATGTTGCTAAGCATCCTATAAGGCACAGGAGTGCTCCCACAATAAAAAATTATCTGGTCCAAGATTATCTGGTTCTTCTGTTGAGAAACCCTGCATTCCACTTATAGTGTGAGAGAGGAACAGCTCTGAATTCCAAATTTAGTTTGAACTCTAGCTTCAAGGATTACTAGTTTTGTCATCCTAAACAAGGCCATTTATTTATTAAATATTTTTGAAGCTCTGTGTTCTAGGTACTGGGATTCAGTAGCAAACAAAACTGATAAAAAATCCTTGCCCTCATTGAGATTGCATTCTACTGGGAGATATCAACAATAAACAAGAGACAAGTAAAAATATGTGTCCTAGGTTATTTTCTTCAGGGAGGAGACTGACATTTACTAAGAAGCACTCTCAGAGCCCATTCCTATGAAGTGCTGAGGGAGAAGTAAATTAAGCAGGAGTGGCAAAGGGAGAAGATGGGCTGTGATGAGTCTCCACAGGAGCCTTAGCAGGTCCCATGGGGAGCTCTGAAGCTGAAGCGGCTCTTCAGAGTGGCTCTCCATTGAAGCAAAATGGCCAGGCTTTTATTCTTCCACATCAACAGCCAGTAGATGTGTGCTGCCTCCAGAAAGGGGAAGTGAAGATGGGCAAGGCAACAGTCTTCCATCAAGGCTAAGAGTTTCATGGCTAACAGGACTCAGTGGGACATTCAGCTAAGAAGTACCACCAACACTCCAAGTAGCTGGAGGAATGTGTACTTCAGTTCTGAAGGGGAGAAATTTGTGTGGCACATCACAGCATCTACCACATACACATTAAGTAGCAATAAATGAAATAACACTGGGTAAGAAGTGGAGAGTGATAGAGAGTAGAGTGAAGTTTTAGAAAGAATAGTCAAGAAAGCTCATTCTGACAATGTACCATCCAAGCAGAAGTTTTAAGAAAGTAAAGGAGTGAACCAAGTAGAAATTTGAGGGAGTATCAGGCAGAAAGAACTGCATTTGCAAAGGCCTTGATGCAGGAATATTTAAGGCACAACAAGAAGATCACTGGGAAGGGAATGGAGTGAGCAAGGAGGAGACAGGTAGGAGATGGGATTCGAGATACCCAGGTCTTACATGGTGTAGGATTCTTTGACCATGGTAAGCCTTTAAGATGTCTTCCCAAGTGTGACAGAAAGCCAGTAGATGGTTTTGAAGCAGCTAGTGATATAATCTGATGTATTTATGGGTTATAAGGAAGCAAAAGTGGAAGCAGAGACACAGTTAGGGACAGGAGTAGTTTAAGTAAAAGATGATGTCGGCTTAAACCATGATAGTAGAAGTAGTTAGGTTTTTAAAGGTAGAGATGTTGGGATTTACATGTGTCATATATGTGGACTCCAAGAGAAAGGAAGGAATTAGTGGTAACTCCTAGATTTCTAAGCAATTGAGTGAATATGGGTGTGATTTACGAATATGAAGACATCCAAGTAACAGGCAGATTAACAGAGGGAAATTAGGAGTTCTGTTTTGCCATGTCCAGTCTGAAATGATTAGGTTTAACTGTAAGTTAGGTAGCTTAAATAAGATAGAGTTTTTAATCTCTTCCGCATAAGAGCCTGGAGGAAGAAAATCATTCCAACTTTCTTCTCTATGAGATCTGGAGTGTGGACATCATCTCCTAGTTCAAGATTAAGCTCTAGTCCAAGCATCAGAATGGAGAAAGGTAGAAGAATGAGCAAAGGGTCTCAGAAGCTGTCCAACAGCACTCCCTTTTATCCTCTTAGCCAAAATTTTGTGACATAACTACACCAAACATCAGGAGTGAGGGTAGGGGTAAATGATAAGCTTTATTCTGAGTTACCATGTGTTCATCCAAAATTATAACACTGTAGAATAAGATTGGATGTTGTGAGACAACTAAAAATCTCTGCCATAACATTCAGTGGAAATCTCAAGTAGGCAGTTGAATATATAGATCTAGAACTCAGGGCGGAAGTCAGGACTGGAGATATAGACTTGGAACTCATTAGTTTGTATATGGCATTTAATTAAATTTATGAGACTGAAAGAGATTACCTCAGATGTGAGTGCATATAAATACTTACATAAGCTCCATAGTACATCACGTTTTCCAAAGATGGCTATAATATTTCCCATCCCATGTCTCATATACAATGTGACCTTGATATGTCTCCCTTTAAGAAGTGAAGTCTGCTCAAACTATAAAAATCCTAGAAGACAACCTAGGAAATACTCTTCTTGACATTGACCTTGGCAAAGAATTTATGACTAGGTTCCCAAAAGTCATTGCAACAAAAACAAAAATCGACAAGTGGGACCTAATTAAACTAAAGAGACTTCACACAGCAAAAGAAACCATCAACAGACTAAACAGACAACCTACAGAATGGGAGAAAATATTCACAAACCATGCATCCAACAAAGGTCTAATATCCAGGGTCTATAAGGAACTTACACAAATCATCAAGCAAAAAAACAAACAGCCCTATTTAAAAATGGGAAAGGACATTAACAGACACTTCTCAAAAGACACATAAGCGGCCAACAAACATATGGAAAACTGCTTCTCATCACTCATTATCAGAGAAATGCAAATCAAAACCACAATGATATACCATCTCACATGAGTCAGAATGGCTATTATTAAAAAGCCAAAAACACAACACGTGTTGGCAAGGTTACAGAGAAAGCAGAATGCTTATACATTCTTAATGGGAATGTAAATTAGTTCAGCCACTGTGGAAAGCAGTTTGGAGATTTCTCAAAGAACTTAAAACAGAACTATCATTCAATCCAACAATCCCATTATTGGGTATATATCCAAAGGAAAATAAGTTGTTTAAAAAAAAAGACATATGCACCCCTATGTTCATTGCTGCACAATAGTAAAGATGTGGAATCAACCTAGATGCCCATCAACAGTGGACTAGATAAAGAAAATGTGGCACATATACACCATGGGATACTATGCAGCTATAAAAAAAGAATGAAATCATGTACTTTGCAGCAACATGGATGCAGCTGGAGGCCATTATCCTAAATGAATTAATACAGGAACAAAAAACCAAATACCACGTGTTCTCATTTAAAACTAAGCATTGAGTACATATAGACATAAACACGGGAACAGGGAGCTAAGCACTGAGTACATACAGACATAAACATGGGAACAGGGAGCTAAGCACTGAGTACGTATAGACATAAACATGGGAACAATAGGCACTGTGGACTACTATGGCAGGGAGGGAGAGAAGCACGGGTAGAAAAACTACCTATTGGGTACTGTGATAACCACCTGGATGATGGGATCATCCATTCCCTAAACCTCAGCATCACACAATGCACCTGTGTAACAAACCTGCATATGTACGACCCTTGAATCTAAAAAGTTGAAGTTATTAAAAAAGAAGAAGAAATGGAGCCTATATCCTAACCTCTTGAATCTGGGTGGGTTTTTGAGTCACAACCAAAAGAATGTAGGGGAGATAACACAGCATGGCTAGGTCAGAAAAGAAGATGCAGCTTCCTCATTATAATTTGGAGCACTTGCACTTGGAGCCATGGGTAACCATGTGTAGGCTGTCCAATTGGCTATTCCTGTTTTCACTGGCCGGTGATATGTGTGGATCTGAGCACTTCAGCTAAGGGGCATGAGTGAAGACGGGTCCAGCGTGATGGCCCTTGGATCCTGCATCCAGCTCTCAGCACCCTGCTTAGTGACTAGCTTCAGCATCTAGGAGGACACCCAAGGGAAACTTATATTCCCTCTAATTATTCAGCTAATAATTAGGAAAAAATACTATTTAAAATGACTAGAGTTATCATCCATAACCCTAGTATTGTTTATCCTTGCCTGGTGTTGATGGGAACTTAGTTGCAACATGGACGGTATCTGGCTGATCTGCCTGAGTACTGAGCTTCCTGTCTCCCCACTATGTTCTTCACCTTCCAAACGTACACGTACACACACACACACCTGTAGGAAAACATATTCAACATCAATACCATGTTTTTCTGTTACCTACCTGTTTCTTTCATTTCCTGCCACTTTAAATTATAAAGTCCCAGATGCAAAACTTGTTTATCTGTTTATATACATTTCCACACCACCTAGAGTGGTTGTAGACTATCAGAACGTGCTTTTGATGCTCTGGAAAACTTTACATCTTTAAAATTGTTTCAGATTAGTTTATTTTTATTATTATTGTAACCATAGTCCTCTACAAAGCTACTGAAATAAGATGAAAAATAAATTACATGGACCAAGAGAGTGCTTGTCCATCTAATTTTTGTTCTACAATATATAATACTAAATTATGAAAATCCCAACAGAAAGCTCAAAGTAGTAACATAAATAACATATTAGTTGCTCAACCCTTAGAAGGCAGCATCCTGGAGTTTCATATTTTTAGATATGTTACTCTGTTCACTAAGTTCTTTGATTTGAAATAATCATTTATGAAATATTTCCCTAAAATAGAAAGTAAACAATTTTAATAGGACTGTAAAATAATGTATGTCATTTATAAGATTACTCATGGTCCAATGGTATGACTGCAATGAAGTGCTCGTAAGTGAGAATGTAGAAAATACTGCCAAGGTGAATTGACTCACACCTGTAAACCCAGCACTTTTGGAGTTTAAGCAGGAGGATTGCTTGAGCCCAGGAGTTCAAGACCAGCCTGGGCAACATAGGGAGACCCCCATCTGTACTAAAAATAAAAATAAAAAATTAGCCGGGCATGGTAGTGCGCACCTGTAGTCCCAGCTACTTGGGAAGCTGAGCTGAGAGAATCATTCGAGCCCAGGAGGCCAAGGCTACAGTGAGCCATGATCCAGCCACTGCACTCCAGCCTGGGCGACAGAGGGAGACCCTGTCTCAATAAAAATAAAAAACAAAAAAAGAAAAAATTAACAGTATTCAGAGGATGAAGTTATTTCAGAAGTAATTATAAATCCCAAGCTATTATTTCTGCTTCCCTATAGAATAAACTTAGAAATAGCCATTGCTGGTCTTAACATTTTTATTTCCAGATTTATCAACAGAGACAATGTCACTTTCAGAAAAAAAATCATAACAGATGAAGAAAATAGATATAAATTTTCAATGAAAAATTAACTCAAATTCAAGCAAAATTTAAGATTATTAAATAAAGAAAAGATCTCAGGTTGATGTCAAGTATGTTTCTTTAACATATGATGATTACCAAGCTCTAGGCAAGTGTGATTTTGCAATTTTAAGGTGGCTAGTACACTTGAAGGATAAAAATGTTAAAGTCTTACCAGCTGCCCAAACCCTACACCTTCACCTGCTCTGCTGTTCCCAAAATAATTCCTATTCTTCCCCACTTAACTTGTTTAAACAATATAAGATATAAAGTAAATAGTAGGAAAAGTCATAGGCAAGTAAAAATTTAATTTCACTACCCCTTATTTACATTTTACCTATTCTAAAAGTAATTTTCTCCAAGGTAACATAGGGAAATAAATGAAATCTCCTGATCACTTCAGAGGAAATACATTCTCTGGATATGGTATACACACACACTTTAATTTGACTAAAACACAAATAATAGAAGATTAAAATTTTTTACAAAACAATTTAATTATACAAAAACATTTAATTTCACATATATATTTTCAACAGAAGTACAATTTGATGTTATTGTTCCATTCCTTTATGTGCAACATCAAAATATCAGTTCTTTGGTCCTCCAAGTCAATTTCAAATACACAAAAGAAATTTGGAGAGTTTGGATGGGAGTAGTTTTTATCTTGAATTACTGAAATACTTGCTTTCATTTCTTTTCAATCCAATTCATATGAATAAAAAAATTTTAATTTATTAGCAATATATCACACAATATATTTTTAAACCATAGCCTCAGCCATAAAGTAGAAAATATATAATCAGAATCTGGAAATGTTTATCATGGTGAAACATATTGTTTAAGGTATTATTTTGAAAAATATGTTACTAATATATGAATCCTAAAAAAATGCAAATATGTTATTAAGTAAATAATTCAAATATTTAGAGTGTTAAAACAACTTACATATATTTTATCTCATTTGATAGTTGGGAAAGCCCTTCATGTTCAGTAAAATACATATTGTTATCTTCACCTTTCAGATGATGAAACTGATATAAAGGTAAAGGATCTTCCTGGAGAACATGTAGCTTTGGGTGGTAATTGACAAGAGAACCCAAATATTCTGACAACCAGTCAGTATCCTTGTCTTTGACTGAGAGAAGCTGCCACTCGGCTAAGCTTGAGGTTAATTCTCCACTTTAATCAGCTTAGTGACATAAGTATAAATAATTAAAAATTAACCAAAAATAGAATCAATGCACTCCTGAGAGCTTGATAAGAAGCTCATAACTAGAGAACAGTTTACTATACCAATTATGGGCAGACACTGCTACAGAACAGGCCCAAAGTGACCAGGAAGAAAAAGTGTGCCTATATGTTTTAACTTTACAGGATCTTCAAGTTCTATTTTACAGAAACTCGTGCTCAAATAAAGTTTTAACATCTAGACTGACTACAGTGAAAACTCTTTTTCACATTTTTTCAAAGGAAGTCACTCTTGGGACACAAAGGGAAAACAGTAGATATGATCTCTCATGACTTTAGCAAGATTTTAGATTTAGCCCAGCATGATAGAGTCATCAATGAACTGGAAACACAGTATGGGTCACACATACTATTGAGGGCTGCACAGCTATTGAGTGGTTATCACTGGCTCAGTGTCAACCGGGTGGGAAATGAATAGAAAATCCCAAATGTAAATTTGTTTAACATTTGCCATCAGTGACCTAGAGAAATGAAGAGCTTATTTAAGTTTGCAGCTGGATAAAATAAATGTCCTTTCTGGCACTAAAATTCTCAAAAATGAAGAGAAGAGATACAATAGAGTCAGAATTCTGCATATTATTAACTAAGAAAATGTGTTCACAGAAATAATCAAGATCAATATCACATAGAACAGTACAGTCTTTTTGAGAAATGTGATAAGAATATACAGAGTGAGAAATTACTAGCTGTTGTTTGACCTTTTGATTTCTGCCTCTGTAACCCAAATTTACAAAGGGTGTGTGCATACACACACACACACACACATACACACACAAGATATACCAAAAACAAGTGTAATTCACATGAAAGAAATTGTGGTGGGTATCTAGCATTTTATATAGAAACTTCATTTTCCTTTAATAAGACTCAGAAGCCGCTAGTGAAAGAACACTTTTCCTTAAAGTGTTGTTGTTCTTGTGTGTGTGTCCTCCAATTTAACACAGGCTATATCCTTTGAAGTTGTGTACTGCCCTGGGTAACACAAAAGAACGGGAGGTGGAGGATAGAGGCTGGGAACGGGTATGAAGGTTGGGGAGAGGGGGATGAAGACAGGTTCTTAAATGGATGTAAACAGACAGAAGTACTAATACGTTCCAATGTTCTAAAGCAGAGTAGGGTGACTATAGTTAGTAATAATATACTGTATATTTTAAGGTAGCTAGAAAAGAGGACTTGAATATTACTAAGACATAAAAGTAAGAACTCAAGGTAAGTTACACCCCAGACACCCTGACTTGATTGTTACATATTCTATGCAGGTAACAAATACTCACATGTAGCTCATACATATGCAAAATACTATGTATTAATTTTAAAAAATTAAAAAATAAAAAGATGTAAAGCAGTAAATAATTAGGATGAGATTATCGAGGAATTAAGCACACAACAACGTGTTAAAAAGTTGTTTAATGCTATGTGTACAATTTCCAAGCAGACAATTCTGCATGCTTTATTCAGCCTCATTCTAAGAAAGATTTTTTTAAATAATGCAAAATGTTAGAATATGACAAACCATGAAATAGAATAGATGCTAGAGGCAACGAATCACATAAAACTTTTGATCTCTAAATTTGGAAACTGAAGAGTATTTTATTGTCTATTGGCAAAACATCTTTTTCCTAAGAATTCCCACAAATACTTTATATGAAATATTCCTACAAACCATATGGAGTATAAATTGAGACCATGGCAATATCATGCAGTTCTGGTAGAAAGGGCAAACAATAACGTCTTTTATTTTTAAAAAATCAATTTTTGCTTATGAGTAGGATTTCACTCTTTGAAGAGGGAGGGCAAAAGGACAATACTTTTTTTAAAATCTCTGTCATATAGTAGGAGAAATGTAACCTCTGTAAAACAGCATTCTCTTTGCTCCTTCATCCAACACCAAGACAGACAACTGTAAAATGTGTCAGAGTTTTAAGAAAATTAAAGAGTTGTCTGTCATTTTATGTAATATCTAGTAAGAAAAAGTTTACATTTATATAGTTTTCATAGATCAGGCTACTTAAAAATTTGTCCACTTAATTTGGAGGTATCATATCTATTCTGTGACAAAACATTCTGAGATCTGTAATCTTTTTTAGCCTTTCAAATCAAATATATTCATTTTAAAACAAACCTTATATAATACTTTGTGTCTGTGTGGATATACATATATATACACATATTAATATAAACATGTATGTAAATGATAGGGATACCTTTCACTAGAGTTCTGTTTTCTTTCTTGTAATTAGCCAACCTCTGAATCTAAATCCTTGGCTATTAGTCCAGAATTTAAATGTAAAGGGGTTTGGCTTTAAGTAAGAGTTTAACTGGCGTTTTTATATTTTTTCTTGTAGTTCCATAAAAGAAAGTAAGTGGTTTAGGACAATTATAATTCAAGAAAATTGTAATAATTTTTAATGATTATTTTATGACAGATTTTAAAGAAAGGCAGCAATGAAAATGTATAAACATTGGGATTATTCTGAAATTTCTTAGTTTTTTTATTGAAGGATTTGCAGAAAAATATATGTTTTGAAATATTTTAAGAAAGCATGAAATGCCATATCACATTACATTAATTTTCTAAATATCGAAGTATAGAAACATAGAAATTGCCACACATGCTGTAAATATGGCGCATTCATTTTCTTGCCAAAAGCAATCTTCCCTGAAATCAGCTTTGAATATTAAATACATTGAATCTCTTCCTTTATTTAGTTTATAACTTTGCCATCCTTGATTTTCCCAAGTGCTTTCTTAATCCATTTCTAGCTCTACAAATAACAACAACTTGTAGTGAATGCTCTATCAAATTAAATCAAATAAAATTGTACTTCTTTTTATTTACTCACTCAGGTTTTAATGCGAGTCCCTTTTGCCAATTGTATGCATTTGCCAGCGTTGCTGTAATAAAGTATCACACATTAGATGGCTTAAACAATGGAAAATTATTGTCTCTCAGTTCCACAGTCTAGAAGTTCAGGATCAAGGTATCCACAGGGTTGTTTTCTTCTGAGGGCTGTGAGGGAACGTGCTGTTTCAGGCCTCCCTCCTGGGCTTGCAGATGGCCATCTTCTTCCGGCATCTTCGCATGGCATTCTCCCTGTATGTGTGTCTGTATTCAAATTTCCCCTTTTTATAAGAATGCCAGTCATATTGGATTAGGGCCTACCCTAATGATGTCATTTCAACTGGATTACTTCTGTAAAGACCCTTCAAATAAGGCCACACTGAAGCACTAGAAATTAGGACTTCCACATGCAAATAAGGGAGATGCAGAGACCACACAATTCAACTCAAAGCACCATTGTAAAGCTTTTCTTTATGCAGAAAATTCTTTATGTTAAAAAAAAATCATCTGAGTAAACTGAAAATAACAGAGCATGTCTCTGTGGGTGTGGTCAACTTGGGTAAGATGAAAACAATGATAGGCAAGCCACCATCCAAACAGATTCACTCAAGTTTGTCTTAGAATTAAAAAAAGAAGAAGATAAAGAAGAAGCCCATGTCAATGAGAACTCTTTTGGTTGCAAGTGAGAGAAAGCCCAACCTATATTTGGCTTAACCAAAAAGGAAATGTATTGGCTCCTGTAATTGAAAAGTCTAAAGGTAAGACTGGTTGGGGGCATGTCTGGCTGGATTCAGGGCTGAAGCAACGTCATAGGACAAAGTTTTTCTACATTACTGAGCTCTGCATTTTTCTTGTTGATTTTATCCCACTCGATTTAAGTCCAATAGGAAAAAAAATTTCTCACAATCACCTGCAAAATTCTCTTTGTGTCTTCTTGTCTCTGACCGAATCATATGTTCATGCTGATTATCATGGCCAGAAGGAGAAGCTCTGAGTCAAGCCTGAACTCACAAACCACACATGTAGGATCAGTAGTGGAGTCAATTCTAACTGTGTAGCTAAAAATAGGGAAGAAATTGATTTCTAAATAAACATTAACCTCTTATTACCCAGATGAAGGGTAAATGGATATGTGATGCCAAAAACAAGTATCTACTACCAAGTGACAAGTCCACAAATCAGTGGATCAGCTTGGGAATAGAGTTTCTTTACTTACACAAGACTCCTATCAATTCAATGAAATATTTAAAAAGGGCTTTAAGACTCCATCAAAATTCTCACAAAATGCTGAATTTATAGAATGAATATCAGCTAACCCTGATTTTACATGCAAAACCCCGTATCAACTAACCTTCTATACAAGATCATCAAAACTAAAACTAATGGCTTTAATTCACTGTGTTTGAATAACCAATGTGGCTAAAGAATGCAAAAGAATACAGGCAACAGCCAAAAGATAACAAGCTTAAGTGAGTCTAAGAAAGATATTTTCTCTCATGGCCTTTTTTTTTGGTCTCTTGAGTGCTGAAATTTATCTAACCACTACATCTATTCAGGAGGAACCAATATTTCCTTTTGCAATAAACTAAGAAAAAGGAAGCTTTAAAAATGTTATTTGAAGGCCTAACGTACTGAATCTGTATATCTCCTCTTAGTTCATTAAGATAGTACCATAGATTAGTGGAAACAATATATCTGGGTTCATACTCTACAAGATCATGTAAATGGGCTATGATAAATTATTGATTGCTCGTCTTCCATTTCAACGCTTATTGTTCATATATTTATTGAATTGTATTTAGGACCTAGAATTTGGAGCATAATCAAGAGAACGTATGTGGGAAGTAGCTTTTTTATTTAGAAAGGAACTACTTTTTATCTAGACGATTTTCTAACATTGTTCTTTAGCATTATATAGTTTTTCATTTTAAGATCAATCTAGTAGATCCTCTAGACTATATCAACCTTTGGATCTGTTTTTCTTGCTGAGAAAACACCAAGCCATGAGCCTTATAAGCATGACTTACTTTATCATTTTTAAACAAGAAGTTTGGTCTGCATTACATACAAATATATGGCATTGAAAATTATGATTTTTCTTGTCTCTCTTTTCTGTATTGGGGAAGAATCTATCTTGGAACAGTTGCCTCCTTCTCTTTCCTCTGTTTGTCTATCAAAGGAGTTTGAACAAAAGAAGAAAGAATCAGACCAAGCAGAAGAACATTTTGGACCCTACTTAAGATTAAATGAGTACCAATTATTAAGTTTCATACAGTCCACACCAAAGAACCAGCTGAAAGTAGTTAGGAAATGTCAGCAATTGTAAATATGTTACTAATTATTTCTGTACCTCATCAACAACTCAGCACTTTTATTCTTGGTAACCATGACTCACTCTCTTCATCCACTCATCACCTCAATTAACTTTTTCTCTTATGGTTATTTGCATGGCTTCATCAGAGAAATGAAGGCACTAGATCCCGGATGTCATCTGGAGACTCACCTTCCAGCCACTACTCCCCATTGCATATACTGCCAGTCCTTACTCGGTTCCTAGATCTAAGTGGGAGGACCAGAGAGTGAGTACAGAGTAGCTGAAAAACAAAGTTTAATTCTGACAAGGCTCTTTTAAAATGTATGCTATAACACCAAAGCAATGTCAGTGTATGATATAGATATGTATATCTATGTTTTAACTTTTTAATTAAATACCCATGAGGTCAGGGACTCCCATCATATTACTAAAAGCCTAATGCCTGAACCAAAGGTTGCATTCAACAGATACTTTTCAAATAAACACGTAAATGAAGGAATACATATTGCCAAACATATAAAGCAAATATAATAAGGAAATATTTCACCACTGAATTTTCTCTGAAGAATGAATTATATTACTAGAAGGCCATTGATGAGTTGAGCACTTGATAAATGTCTAAATATAAGTTTGGGAGTGTAAGCCAGAAAACATCCAATTATTTTCCAGGAAAATTGGGGGATTCCTGGAGTGGATAAGAGACAATGTGAAAGGAAGGAGGTGCTCAATAAAGAAGGGAAAAAATGCCCAGTATGGCAGCAGAGTAACAGAGGGGTTTAGAAGAACAAGAATCACTAACATGGAGTTTAATAATTGTTTGTTCTACCATGTGCCATGTAATCAACGCTTCTTCTGCCCTCCTGCAAAATATACACTAAATTCTATGTTTTTCACTAATGTGAGGGTATTCTTTTAGAAAACCTAGATCTGTGGTCTCTTTCCTTGTTAGACATGTTGCTGGGAAAAAACCACTCACAAGAAAAGAGGATTATGAAAGCATAAATCCTTGGGTGGATCTTTTGAAGAAATCTTGGGAGGTCTAATGGTGTATGCAGGTTATGAGATAGGGGGTCCAATTCAATTTTATCTTGATCAAATGGTAGGGAGACCAAGTTGTCATCTGAGATCTATGCTGCTCACTCTGCATGGAAAAATAGAATGTCCTCAAGGAATAGGACTAGGATATTCTTTGAATATGTTTTTTACCACGCAGCTTTCACCTCTCATTACCATCAAACAGCTATAACCAAGATATCTTTCTTCTGGCTAACAACTTAATAATTATCATTATTGGTTATAATTGTAATAGCTAACATTTGTTAAGATTATACAAAGTGACAGTCATGGTGCTAAGCATTTAACAAGTCTCACTTTATTTGTAGATATTTATCTATAATACTACTCATTAGATGAGAAACTGTATGCATGGAACAGTATAAGTGCTACATAAACATTTTTTCAATGAATAAATGAATAGAATAGTTAGCATTTACTAAACCCTTGCAATGGTGCCAGCCTGTTCTGAGCATTTTCCAAGTACTTTAGCATGTACTAACTCACTGAATCTTCAATACAATCCTATAGGGTAGGTAGTATTATCATTCCCATTTTCAGAGGAAGAAACTGAGGCACAGAGAGGTTAAAGACTGCCTACAGCATACACTCTTAACCACACAGTCTTCTAAATGAATGATCTAAGGAAAGCAAGCCTTAGCGAGGTTAAATAACTTGCCCAAGTTCACCCATCAAGTAAGAGCAAACACAGGACTTAAACTCTGGTCTAGTTGTCTTCAAAATTCATGCTTTTAAGTGTTACGTGCAAAAAAAAAAGACCATCCCTAACTCATAACTAACTGGGTTCTGAAAACTGAAGATCGGAGATCAGAGTCCAAACCTTCTTCGAAGTCATCACAAATCCTGGAGGCTCTGGGTAAAATTTGACAGCCTAGAAAAGATGCCAATTGGGCAATCAGAAGGAAGAGAAGTCAGAAGTACCAGTAAGAAAGGCAAAAGGCAATCATTAAATGGAGTCTTATTTTTGGCTAGGCAATATCACCAGATCAGGGCTGGCTTCATGGGAGCGTAATCAATGCAGTCACACAAGACTCAATGCTCAAAAAAGCCCTGCATTTGCAATTTAGTACTCTGCAGCCACCATATTGAAATGATGATCTAAGGAAAACAGGCTTAGAGAAGTTAAATAACTTGGCTAAGATTATCCATTGAATCTGATCATCTGAATTTGCATTTTTAAGTGAAGTTTGATGGGACAAGGGAGCATGCACAGGTGGTTGGAAACTCATTCATGGATAGCCTCCTCCTACCATTTCTCCACCTTCCCACCAACTTAATATGGGTTCTTGGCCACCTAGGCCCTGTCCAGCCTCCTCCTCCCTACACCATCCCTGTGACCACTAACACCCTCACCTTCGGCAAGGAAAGACTCACATTCTGTTGTTTACCTTCCAGCCCCAAGAGGGCCTGGATGCAAGCACAGAGAGGGTCAGTGTTGGGTGCACACCACGTGATATCTTAGGGCAGATCAAGGCAGTGATTCTCTACTCTAGGCTGGCAGCAACACAGAGCATTTCATGGACAATTTGGCAAGAGCCTCTTACCACTCCCAATCCGGGTACCAAGCACATCTGAGAGAGGAGGCGACAATCTATGGAGGGTCATCTGTTCACCATGGATTAGAAGAAGGACCCGTAAGAAGGAATCATTGACTTCCCTTCCCTATCAGGAGCCCCACATTTTTATTGCACTGGGGCCCACAACTATCCTTGCAGCAGATCAACATGGAGCTTTACATAGATGGAAACTGAATTTCCAATGCAATTAATAAAGTATGGGATGTGGGGTATAAGAGTCAGAGAATAGTCAAATATTAGACAAAGGCTTATGGCCTGAGTTGTCATCAACCAAAGTAGTATTGTTATACTTTTTATATGTTTGTTTGACAGTGTGGAAGGTTTCAGAAGTTCTGTTTTTAATATGTTGAGTTTAAAATAATCTATCAGATGTACAAGTAAAAATATCAAGTAGCTAATTGGAAAGAGATTGAGCGGAAGATATAAATTTGGGAGTCATAAACATACAGATGGTATTCAAGGCCTCAAAATCAGATGAGAACGGGATCACTGAGATAGTGAGTACAAAGAAAAAAGAGAAAAAAACGAAAACACTCTAGGATACTTTCCAACTCTAAAATATACGAGAAAAAAGAAAAAACCAGTGAAGAAGACAGAGGAATAGAAGACCAGCAAAGCAGGAGGGAAAAGGAGTGTGTGATGTCCTAGAAGCCAAAAGAAAGCATATGTTAAAAAGAATTGAACAATCAATAATCAGAAGTAAATGTTACTGATGGGTCAAGACTAAAATGAGGGGCAAGAACTAGTCTTTAGCAAAGTAGAGGCCATTGGAGACCATAGGGGAGGGCAGTAGAAGCCTAACTGATTAGAATGGGTTAAGAGAGAATGTGAGGAATGGAAGTGAAAACAAGAAGTATAGACAACTCCTTCAAGGGGCTTTGTTGCAAAGGGGACAAAAATCGTGCTGGATGGCAGAACTGTTTCGAGAAAAGCTTGTTCATATTGTTTCATATGGAAGAAATAACAGCAGATTTGTATGCTAAAGGAGAATACTTCAGTAAAGTGAAAAATTGATGTCATAAGAAGCAGTGGGGAGAATTGCTGGAGAAATGTCATGGAAAAGGTGAGAAGGGATCACATCTACGGCACAAATAGAGGGATTGGCTTTTGATAAAAGCATGTATATTTCATTGAGGGGGGAAGGAAGAGTAAAGGAATGTAATGCTGATGATCAAACATGGTGTTGGGAAGTTCTCTCTAGATTGTTCTAAATGTCTCATTTTAAAAAAAGTCAATCAGCTAAAATTGAAAATGAGGAAAGGGACTGGAATTTTGAAAAGAAAGAAAGTTGTGAAATAGTCATCCAGGTGAGTGGGTACCTAGTCCATATGAATGGACTAGGGACAGAAAGTATGTTTGCTTGATAACGTTAAATTTAAAGTGATGCCATTCAATGTGGTTGTATGTTTTATGTTTTGCATCAACCATGCTCAGCTACACAAGTATAGGGGGAGAAACTTGGGTTTAATTAAGTTGAGCCAAGCCACTATAGTAAAACCCAAGAAGGACAAAGGAATCAAGGAAATATACAAGGGAGTGATTTATATTAATTGTCTATGCAATTTAAGTAATCAAAGAGGAAAATTAGGATATCATGGGGGTGAGGGACACTGAAATGTGGGTAGGATCAGTAGATTGGGAGTCACAGTGGGATAAAGGAATTATACATTTTGATCTGAAATGGCTTTATGTCTTGCCAAGTTGTTTACATTTTAAGAATTTTTTTAAAGTTTATCCAACATTTTTAGTTGAACAATTAGTTCAAATGATTCTAAGCAGTACTACTGGAAATTGGACCTTCACTTGGCTTTAAAACTCATGTTTATTTATTTATTTCATTCCCTCAAACATCCATGCCAATACAAAAGCCTGCTGACCCATCACTCCATTCCCTTGCCACCACCCAAGTCCAGGTATTCAGCAGCACATATCTAGACAGGTGCCACGGCCTCCTACTGATTTCTATTATAATCTAATTTATGGCTATTAGGATGTGTTTTTTTTTCCTCAAACATTATTGCTTAGCATAGCTGAACATGGAGGAATTAAATTCATTTCTGTCTTCAATATCCAAAATCTAGTATGGTACATAACTATTTTTAAATATTAAAATTCCCCTCCACAGGCATTCTAATGTCTTTAAGATTTTGCATTGTGTGTTTTCTTGCCAAAAAAAGTGCATTATTTTGTGTTTCTTAAAATATTTGTACATTGCTTATTCTTATGCTTTATGTATTTTTCTGTTGAGATTGTTGTCTTTTCCTTATTAATTTGCAAGTATTTCTTATATATTCTAGATATTTACCGTTTTTAGATATTAATATCTTGAACATATAGATGCACCCATTTTGTTAGCTCTTAACATTTTCCATTCATTAATTAGAAATCATTAGTTTAGATATAAACAAATTCACCAACATTTGCCTTACAGTTTGTTCTTTGAAAGTTCTAGAAATCATTCTCCAGGAAAGTCTGAGAAATCATTCTCTAGGATCAAAGGCTTTCTTCTACTGTTTCTTCTGTTAACTGTATAGTTTTACTTGTCACATCTAGAGTCTACTTTTGAATGCTGTTAGTTAGCAATCAAGTTTATCTTTCTGCATATGGTAAACCAGTTTTCCCAACATTTTCCTAATAATCCATCTTTTCCCCCTTGACTTGCAGTGTCATTTTATTGTAAATTAAATATATTTACACATACACACGAATCTGTCTTTGCACTTTTTATTCCATTTTGTCGGTCAGTTTGTCTGTTCTTGGGCTAATTTCTCAATATTTGATAGAGCAAGCAAGATTCACCCACGTATACTTTTTATTGTTATTAAATTTAAATTTATTATTTGTGAACAATTATTCTTCCCAGTACACGAAAAATATAACTGATATTTTGATTGAAATTATATTGAATTTATAGATTAATTCAAGAAGTACGTGGTATTTTCACAATATTAAGTCATTCCAGCCAGAAGCATGAAATGTCTCTCTAATCAGAAAGATTATTATTTATTTCCTTTCGTACAGTTTACTAAAGATTATTATTATTTATCTTTAGTACAGTTTTAAATTTTTCCACATAAAATAAATGTGTTCTTTATTACATTGATTGTAGGTATCTTACAGATCTTATTGCTACTTTGAATTATATTTTCTAGTTGATGAAGAGAATTATATTTTCTCCCTTATGGCAACTCATTCAGTGTTCAGAAACAGACACTAGCAGGTGTACCAATTCCAAAACAGCTGATTTGAATACAGTAGAATGTTGCCCTGGCAGAGTAGCTCAACTTGAAAAATATGACAGATCAACAAGCTCCATTTGAATAAACAAACTTTACGGCTGGCCCATGTACCTCTTGCCCCTTACAGCTTTGTATAGACCTCCAAATGTCCACTGAAAGAAGGAAAATAACTCAACCTTTTTTCAATATCAATAGCAGGACATCGCTAACTGTTTTTACTGAACAAAGACACTACATAGCATAAGAAACTGAGTCACTTAGTCTATTCAGGTTTCTATAACAAAATAGCATAAACTGGGTTGCTTATAGACAACAGAAATTTGGCGGGAAGCAGCCAAGATGGCCGAATAGGAACAGCTCTGGTCTACAGCTCCCAGAGTGAGCAACGCAGAAGACAGGTGATTTCTGCATTTCCATCTGAGGTACTGGGTTCATCTCACTAGGGAGTGCCAGACAGTGGGTGCAGGTCAGTGGGTGCAGTGCACCGTGCATGAGCCGAAGCAGGGCGAGGCATTGCCTCACTCAGGAAGCGCAAGGGGTCAGGGAGTTCCGTTTCCTAGTCAAAGAAAGGGGTGACAGATGGCACCTGGAAAATCGGGTCACTCCTACCCTAATACTGGGCTTTTCCGACCGGCTTAAAAAACAGCGCACCAGGACATTATATCCCGCACATGGCTCAGAGGGTCCTACGCCTATGGAGTCTCACTGATTGCTAGCACAGCAGTCTGAGACCAAACTGCAAGGTGGCAGCGAGGCTGGGGGAGGGGCGCCCACCATTGCCCAGGCTTGCTTAGGTAAACAAAGCAGCCAGGAAGCTTGAACTGGGTGGAGCCCAACACAGCTCAAGGAGGCCTGCCTGCCTCTATAGGCTCCATCTCTGGGGGCAGGGCACAGACAAACAAAAAGACAGCAGTAACCTCTGCAGACTTAAATGTCCCTGTCTGACAGCTTTGAAGAGAGCAGTGGTTGTCCCAGCACGCAGCTGGAGATCTGAGAACAGGCAGACTGCCTCCTCAAGAGGGTCCCTGACCCCTGACCCCCAAGCAGCCTAACTGGGAGGCACCCCCCAGTAGGGGCAGACTGACACCTCACACGGCCGGGTACTCCTCTGAGACAAAACTTCCAGAGGAACGATCAGACAGCAGCATTCATGGTTCACAAAAATCCGCTGTTCTGCAGCCACCGCAGCTGTTACCCAGGCAAACAGGGTCTGGAGTGGACCTCTAGCAAACTCCAACAGACCTGCAGCTGAGGGTCCTGTCTGTTAGAAGGAAAACTAACAAACAGAAAGGACATCCACACCAAAATCTCATCTGTACATCACCATCATCAAAGACCAAAAGTAGATAAAACCACAAAGATGGGGAAAAAACGGAGCAGAAAATCTGGAAACTCTAAAAAGCAGAGCGCCTCTCCTCCTCCAAAGGAACGCAGTTCCTCACCAGCAACGGAACAAAGCTGGACGGAGAATGACTTTGATGAGTTGAGAGAAGAAGGCTTCAGACGATCAAACTACTCCGAGCTACAGGAGGAAATTCAAACCAAAGGCAAACAAGTTGAAAACTTTGAAAAAAATTTAGACGAATGTATAACTAGAATAACCAATACAGAGAAGTGCTTAAAGGAGCTGATGGATCTGAAAGCCAAGGCTCGAGAACTATGTGAAGAATGCAGAAGCCTCAGGAGCTGATGCGATCAACTGGAAGAAAGGGTATCAGTGATGGAAGATGAAATGAATGAAATGAAGTGAGAAGAGAAGTTTAGAGAAAAAAGAATAAAAAGAAACAAACAAAGCCTCCAAGAAATATGGGACTATGTGAAAAGACCAAATCTACGTCTGATTGGGGTACCTGAAAGTGACAGGCAGGATGGAACCAAGTTGGAAAACACTCTGCAGGATATTATCCAGGAGAACTTCCTCAATCTAGCAAGGCAGGCCAACATTCAGATTCAGGAAATACAGAGAATGCCACAAAGATATTCCTCGAGAAGAGCAACCCCAAGACACATAATTGTCAGATTCATCAAAGTTGAAATGAAGGAAAAAATGTTAAGGGCAGCCAGAGAGAAAGGTCAGGTTACCCACAAAGGGAAGCCCATCAGACTAACAGCAGATCTCTTGGCAGAAACTCTACAAGCGAGAAGAGAGTGGGGGCCAATATTCAACATTCCTAAAGAATTTTCAACCCAGAATTTCATATCCAGCCAAACTAAGCTTCATAAGCGAAGGAGAAATAAAATACTTTACAGACAAGCAAATGCTGAGAGATTTTGTCACCACCAGGCCTGCCCTAAAAGAACTCCTGAAGGAAGCACTAAACATGGAAAGGAACAACCGGTACCAGCCACTGCAAAATCATGCCAAATTGTAAAGACCATCGAGGCTAGGAAGAAACTGCATCAACTAACGAGCAAAATAACCAGCCAACATCAAAACGACAGGATCACATTCACACATAACAATATTAACTTTAAATGAAAATGGACTAAATGCTCCAATTAAAAGACACAGACTGGAAAATTGGATAAAGAGTCAAGACCCATCAGTGTGCTGTATTCAGGAAACCCATCTCATGTGCAGAGACACACATAGGCTCAAAATAAAAGGATGGAGGAAGATCTATCGAGCAAATGGAAAACAAAAAAAGGCAGGGGTTGCAATCCTAGTCTCTGATAAAACAGACTTTAAACCAACAAAGATCAAAAGAGACAAAGAAGGCCATTACATAATGGTAAAGGGATCAATTCAACAAGAAGAGCTAACTATCCTAAATATATATGCACCCAATACAGGAGCACCCAGTTTCATAAAGCAAGTCCTGAGTGACCTACAAAGAGACTTAGACTCCCACACAATAATAATGGGAGACTTTAACACCCCACTGTCAACATTAGACAGATCAACGTGACAGAAAGTTAACAAGAATACCCAGGAATTGAACTCAGCTCTGCACCAAGCAGACCTAATAGACATCTACAGAACTCTCCACCCCAAATCAACAGAATATACATTTTTTTCAGCACCACACCACACCTATTCCAAAATTGACCACATAGTTGGAAGTAAAGCACTCCTCAGCAAATGTAAAAGAACAGAAATTATAACAAACTGTCTCTCAGACCACAGTGCAATCAAACTAGAACTCAGGATTAAGAAACTCACTCAAAACCGCTCAACTACATGGAAACTGAACAACCTGCTCCTGAATGACTACTGGGTACATAATGAAATGAAGGCAGAAATAAAGATGTTCTTTGAAACCAAGGAGAACAGAGACACAACATACCAGAATCTCTGGGACACATTCAAAGCAGTGTGTAGATGGAAATTTATAGCACTAAATGCCCACAAGAGAAAGCAGGAAAGATCCAAAATTGACACCCTAACATCACAATTAAAAGAACTAGAAAAGCAAGAGCAAACACATTCAAAAGCTAGCAGAAGGCAAGAAATAACTAAAATCAGAGAAGAACTGAAGGAAATAGAGACACAAAAAACCCTTCAAAAAATTAATGAATCCAGGAGCTGGTTTTTTGAAAGGATCAACAAAACTGATAGACCACTAGCAAGACTAACAAAGAAGAAAACAGAGAAGAATCAAATAGATGCAATAAAAAATGATAAAGGGGATATCACCACCGACCCCACAGAAATACAAACTACCATCAGAGAATACTACAAACACCTCTACACAAATAAACTAGAAAATCTAGAAGAAATGGATAAATTCCTCGACACATACACCCTCCCAAGACTAAACCAGGAAGAAGTTGAATCTCTGAATAGACCAATAACAGGCTGTGAAATTGTGGCAATAATCAATAGCTTACCAACCAAAAAGAGTCCAGGACCAGATGGATTCACAGCCGAATTCTACCAGAGGTTCAAGGAGGAATTGGTACCATTCCTTCTAAAACTATTCCAATCAATAGAAAAAGAGGGAATCCTCCCTAACTCATTTTATGAGGCCAGCACCATCCTGATACCAAAGCCGGGCAGAGACACAACCAAAAAAGAGAATTTTAGACCAATATCCTTGATGAACATTGATGCAAAAATCCTCAATAAAATACTGGCAAACTGAATCCAGCAGCACATCAAAAAGCTTCTCCACCATGATCAAGTGGGCTTCATACCTGGGAGGCAAGGATGGTTCAATATACACAAATCAATAAATGTAATCCAGAATATAAACAGAACCAAAGAAAAAAACCGCATGATTATCTCAATAGGTGCAGAAAAGGCCTTTGACAAAATTCAACAACCCTTCATGATAAAAACTCTCAATAAATTAGGTATTGATGGGACATATCTCAAAATAATAAGAGCTATGTATGACAAACCCACAGCCAATATCATACTGAATGGGCAAAAACTGGAAGCATTCCCTTTGAAAACTGGCATAAGACAGGGATGCCCTCTCTCACCACTCCTATACAACATAGTGTTGGAAGTTCTGGCCAGGGCAATCAGGCAGGAGAAGGAAATAAAGGGTATTCAATTATGAAAAGAGGAAGTCACATTGTCCCTGTTTCCAGATGACATGATTGTTTATCTAGAAAACCCCATCCTCTCAGCCCAAAATCTCCTTAAGCTGATAGGCAACTTCAACAAAATCTCAGGATACAAAATCAATGTACAAAAATCACAAGCATTCTTATACACCAATAACAGACAGAGAGCCAAATCATGAGTGAACTCCCATTCACAATTGCTTCAAAGAGAATAAAATACCTAGGAATCCAACTTACAAGGGATATGAAGGACCTCTTCAAGGAGAACTACAAACCACTGCTCAAGGAAATAAAAGAGGATACAAACAAATGGAAGAACATTCCATGCTCATGGGTAGGAAGAATCAATATCGTGGAAATGGCCATACTGCCCAAGGTAATTTATAGATTCAATGCCAACCCCATCAAGCTACCAATGACTTCCTTCACAGAATTGGAAAAAACTACTTTAAAGTTCATATGGAACCAAAAAAGACCCCGCATCGCCAAGTCAATCCTAAGCCAAAAGAACAAAGCTGGAGGCATCACGCTACCTGACTTCAAACTATACTACAAGGCTACAGTAACCAAAACAGCATGGTACTGGTACCAAAACAGAGATATAGATCAATGGAACAGAACAGAGCCCTCAGAAATAACGCCACATATCTACAACTATCTGATCTTTGACAAACCTGAGAAAAACAAGCAATGGGGAAAGGATTCCCTATTTAATAAATGGTGCTGGGAAAACTGGCTAGCCATATGTAGAAAGATGAAACTGGATCCCTTCCTTACACCTTATACAAAAATTAATTCAAGATGGATTAAAGACTTAAACGTTAGACCTAAAACCATAAAAACCCTAGAAGAAAACCTAGGCATTACCATTCAGGACATAGGCATGGGCAAGGACTTCATGTCTAAAACACCAAAAGCAATGGCAACCAAAGCCAAAATTGACAAATGGGATCTAATTAAACTAAAGAGCTTCTGCACAGCAAAAGAAACTACCATCAGAGTGAACAGGCAACCTACAAAATTGGAGAAAATTTTTGCAACCTACTCATCTGACAAAGGGCTAATATCCAGAATCTACAATGAACTCAAACAAATTTACAAGAAAAAAACAAATAGCCCCATCAAAAAGTGGGCAAAGGACATCAACAGACACTTCTCAAAAGAAGACATTTATGCAGCCAAAAAACACATGAAAAAATGCTCATCATCACTGGCCATCAGAGAAATGCAAATCAAAACCACAATGAGATACCATCTCACACCAGTTAGAATGGCAATCATTAAAAAGTCAGGAAACAACAGGTGCTGGAGAGGATGTGGAGAAATAGGAACACTTTTACACTGTTGGTGGGACTGTAAACTAGTTCAACCATTGTGGAAGTCAGTGTGGCGATTCCTCAGGGATCTAGAACTAGAAATACCATTTGACCCAGCCATCCCATTACTGGGTATATACCCAAAGGATTATAAATCATGCTGCTATAAAGACACATGCACACATATGTTTATTGTGGCACTATTCACAATAGCAAAGACTTGGAACCAACCCAAATGTCCAACAATGATAGACTGGATTAAGAAAATGTGGCACATATACACCATGGAATACTGTGCAGCCATAAAAAATGATGAGTTCATGTCCTTTGTAGGGACATGGATGAAATTGGAAATCATCATTCTCAGTAAACTATTGCAAGAACAGAAAACCAAACACCGCATATTCTCGCTCATAGGTGGGAATTGAACAATGAGAACACATGGACACAGGAAGGGGAACATCACACTCTGGGGACTGTTGTGGGGTGGGGGGAGGGGGGAGGGATAGCATTAGGAGATATACCTAATGCTAAATGACGAGTTAATGGGTGCAGCACACCAGCATGGCACATGTATACATATGTAACTAGCCTGCACATTGTGCACATGTACCCTAAAACTTAAAGTATAATAACAATAAAAGAAAATAAAAATAAAATAAAATAAACAACAGGAATTTATTTCTCTCAGTTGTAATATCTGTGAAGTCCCAGATCAAGACATCCAAAGATTCACTATCTGATAAGGTCCCAATTTTTCATAGCTGGTGCCTTCGTACTGTGTCCTCATGTGGTGGGCGGGGCCACCAAGCTCCCTTGGGCTTCTTCTCTAAGGCACTAATCACATTCATGGGGCTCTGCTCTCATGATCTAATACCTCCCCAAAGGCCCCACCTCCTAATACTATCACCTTGGGAGTTAGGACTACAACATATGAATTTTGAGGGGATACAACCATTCAGACCATAACACTGGGAAATGTAGTTTTTAATTTTCAGAAATATGTATGTTTGTAGCTTAAAAAGAAGTAGCCATAGGAAAGAGAGAGCATACACAAAGGTAAGGTTCTGGAGTTTAGGGAGAAGAAGCTGGAGAACTGGAGGTAAAAAAATAACAGATGAAATAGATTCGTAGGAAAAGGAAGACAAGCTATCTCTCATGGCTTCAGAACACAGACATTTCCTGAGTGTCTATAAGCCCTGTGCTCAATTCTGAAGACACAATGATCAAGAAAACAGTCACAGTCTGTGTTCTCATGGAGCTGGGAATACAATGAAAGAACCAGACATTGAGCAAGTAAATAGAAGAAAATAGGCAGAAATACAATCTTAGAAAAAAGTGGGAAATGCATTATCCTCTAAGATGGGAAGAAGAAAGAGGGAAGAGCAAGATGTAATGACTTTCTGAGGCAAGGGGAGGCAGCATTTAGGGAGATTATGGATTACAGCTTTTTATCATCTAAAAAAATAAAAAGTAAAAATATCTGCTAAGAATAAGAGGTACCAATTCATAATGGGTACCATAAAAAACAGGCAAATTTTAAATTACAAGTCTAAGGACAAAATATGAATGAGTACCAGCATCAAGGCACCAGTTGAGGCAAGAGATCATGAGAGTGTGGTCATAGGACCACCTGTTTCAAATCATCTAGAAGGCTTCTCAAACATGATTTCTGCATAAACTCTACCAGAGACCAACTAAATCAGAGTCCCTGGTGGTAGGCCAAGGAGCTACGTTTTTTGGTAAGTAATTCAGGAAATTCCTATGCTCACCAGAATTCAAGCAGCCCTGATGCCATTGGGCTAATCCTTACTACGTTTCAAGTTTCTGTCAAGACCCAGCATCAAATTTCATAATCTAAATTTCTTCCAAAGAATTTGCTTTTGAATGTGTTTAATTGAATCTATAGGCACAGATCTTTACGGTTACACTTTCCCTCCTTCATCTCAATACTTTTTTAAAAGATTTTTTCTATTATATGCTCTCTTCAAATTGTTGCAAGTAACAAGGAATAAGAAGGTAATTCCTTCATCTGTGGCTGTAAATGGTTTTACATGTGCAAAGCATTTTTTGGCTTTTCAAGGAGAAAATACCCATTTTAGAAGGATTCAGAAACTGTATTGCAAGAATGAAGACTAGAAAACACTACCAAATAGTGTATGTTTAAGTGTTTGCTAAATTTATAGTTTTCCAGTTCTGGTTCTTTCTACATCTACATTCTCTCAACATCCACCTTTAAGTGAAATCTAGGAAATTGAAGTTCATTAAATTTGGGCTTTACTGAAAAGCAACTGACAGTTAAGTGGGTGTGGGAAACCTCAAGTGAGGAAAAGTTGACAAGGCGTCTGTAAGTGAAATTCTTGAATTTCACAGACAGCATCAAATGCCAAACAAAATGGATAGTGTAGTGAAGATCTACAGGGAATAGTCTCCTAGAAAACTATTGTTTTCAGTGACTAATAGCCACCCTTTCTTAAAATTGGATTTGTTACAACAAAATAAATGGTCTGATAGATAAGTATAGATAAAGATACACAAGTATTTATTTCTATTGAAATGTGAATTCTAGCATATTTATAAATCTGTTCATGTTGAAAAAGAAGGTGACATAGTGAGACTTGGTCTCAAAAAAAAAAAAGAGAGAAAGAAACAGAGAGAAATGTAAACGTTTGATAAATTTAAATTAAAATGTACAGAAAAGTTGGTTCATTAAATTGTCTCCACAAAGTATTACCTTTATTCTTTATTCTTGCCCTTTAAATTTTAATGGCAATAATAATTTGTTTAGAATATACTATATATTCAAGGCATAGCATCACTATCTAATCCAGAATTTTTAAAAACAAGACCTACTATAAGAAATGTTTTTAAATTTTTCCACTAGGACATACTGCAGAAGTATTTCTATAAGTAACAATAGAGAAAACTACATTCTAATATTTAATTCGAAGCTGTATTATTCATTGTGAATAACTGGCATACGTACATTTACATGTTGTTTTATTTGTTAAGAAATATGTTTTGGGCAATAAATAGATTTGTTTAATATTCTAAAGGTATTCTGGACTCTGATCTCCCTAGCCACAATTTATGTTGGTTTTTTAAAAAATACTACTTATAGCCAATTTAAAGTTGACACACTTAAGCATCCAAAATAAAAATTTAATCCTAAAGTTTCTCAAGAGATAGACCACAACCACAAGGAATTTTTCCGCTTGAGCCAGCTCTCTATAGATCATCACTTCAAAATAAAAGAAGACATGTGTAGCAGAGTTAATCATTTTTATGTAGTCATTTCAGTAAAATAAGTGACCGTGTCATGTTTCATGAATCTCCTTGTCAATTCATTCAACAGGCACAGTCAAGCAACAGGTAAAGACCACAGTAATTGTAAAATTAGCAATAACAATTTACACTTATTTTGCCTTACTACATATCAGGCGCCTTGTCCAAATTATCCCTCTGTTCTGTACACAGCAACAGAAGTGATTCTAATACAGTCTCAGTAAGATCACGCCTCTGCTCTGCTCATACCCCTACAATAGCCTAATGCAAGCATCCTCACTGTGGCCCCCAAGGCCACGATGCGTACACACATTCTCTCCCTTGCTTCATTTCCTTTTACCCTCACTCGGGCACAGGAGCCTCCTTGCCATTCTTCCAATGTGCCCATCACAGTCTGCTTTTGGGTCTTTACAGCTGCTGTCACTTTTGTCTAGAAACATTCATACTCAGACACCTGCATGGTTGTCCCCTCACTTCCTTCAGGTCGCTATTCCTAAGTCACCTTCTCAGGAACGCCTTCCCTGTCGGCCTTATCTAACATTTCATAACTCTCCTTGAACCTTCCAACCCGCCTGCCCTGCTTTATTTTTCTTCTTAGCATTTTTTGCTAACATGCTTTATATTTTTCTTGTTTATTTTCTATCTCCCCATGTTATCCATGAGGGGAGAGATTTTTTGTCTGTTTTGTTCATTGCCATGGCCCCAGTGCTTTCAAAAGTACATGGCATACAGTAAGAGGTCAATAGATGTTTGTTGAATTAATAGAAGAAGGAATTAACTTTCATCACTTGCTTCTGAAGCACAGAGAGGACAGGCTTGTATAATCGTGGAAAAATTTAAAGTGTAGAAGCACTAAACATCAATAATAACATAGATTCAACAAAAGTCTCCTGCTTCAGCTATTACTCCTTACCACAGTGAGAACCCGGGGGGACGGGACAAGTAGTCTTTTATATGTCCCTCAGCTCCTGATCTGTATTAGGTGCTTAATAATTGTACAGTCTTTGGCCCAATCTGCTAAATTTTCTAGCTTGGTGAAAATGCTGCATTCCTGCTCTTTTTTTTTAATCCACAACATTTTGGCAAACAATCAGTCTCAAAACTTGATGTGTGTGTTCTGCTTTGAGCAAAATCTAGACTAAAATATTTCTTGACGTAAAAAAAAATGAAGTTGGAAGACACAAGAGCTGTAATCATGAGCACAAATCAAACACAAAGACCGGCCTCATTCTTGTGGCATCTAAGACATGGCTCAGAATAACAATTCTCCTCTAAAAGATTAAGACGAATGCAGAATGCTGGCTCCTGGCAACTTGTTCTTTATGAGGAGTGGAGGGGACATTTCTCAGGTCTCATTTTCTCCCATCAGACCCCTCTGCCCACAGGGTGTTCAGCTCAGCCTTTCTCCATGCCCATGCTGGCTCTGCTCACCTTCAGAACCACCTGTTTAGGCTCAGCTGTTTTCTGTGACCAGTGATTGCCACAACTAAAGAATTCCAGTCACTAGCTTGCCAATCATGATGGAAAGTTTGGGGCTATCAAGGAGTGGACTCTTAATAAGTACACATTAAATACTCTTTAAAGAGTGTCCAGGCTGGGGTGCTGCCAGTGTTGTCACCACGCTAGTTGAGCATGGCACTGTGGAAAGGTCGCAGGCTTTGGGATCAGTCAGACCTGGGTTCAAATTCCAACTCCAAGTTTTCAAAAAATAGTTCACATTTACAAAGACCATCCTACATACCAGGCACTAAGCTAAGGCCACTTTCCATATATAAATCATACAGCACTCATAATGGTATGATCTAAGTAGTATTGTTCCCATTTTTACTGATGAGGAAATTGAGGCTTATTAATGTGCCCCCAGCCACGTAGCTAATAAAAGTCAAGGGAAGGCCTTGACTTCTAGTTTTTCAAGCCTATACTCCTAACCACTATTTTATACTTTGTGAGTTTAAGAAAGGGAATTAACTTTATTAGCTCTTGTGGATTGAAATGAAAAAATATATAAGTAACCAAAAATGTAATGACTGTTCCATAAATGTGAAAAGTCTGTCTTTTAAATTTGATGACATCTGAACAACTATGATTAATAAGCCCAGGTGTGTCAGTAGATTGTTTTACATATTTAAGGAAGCACTCTTACTTTTAGAGATATATATGGAATATTTACAGATGAAATATTATGTCTGATTTGCTTAAAAATAATTCAGTAATGTGGGGAATATACGTGAAACAAGGTATCATGATAGTTATTGAGGTTAAATAATGAGCTCACGGAGAATTATAATACTATTTATTCTACTTTTCTTGTACTTGGAAATGATAAAATATGTTTTTAACATACCCCTTAAAATAACTGAAAAAAAACTGTGTGTATACATAACACAAAAAGTGTGTGTGTTCTATATAAATATACACGTATGTGTGTGCATGTGTCACTGACAGAGACTTATTTTTCTAGACAGTCTCCACAATAAATAAACCATATAAACCATTGTGCTTCCCATGAATGAAATGCATCTTTAAATATATGGCTCCCTAAATGAAAAAGTTACTGCAATATAAGACAGTGATTTTTCTACAGCCACGTTTAAAAAGTAAAACATGCCGTACCATTAGCTATGTTGAAATTGTCCTCAAAACCACAGCTGCATCTCTAGAGTGCTTCCCTGGATTTATATGGTGACTAAAATGAAGAAAATGGGTGTTTTTGCCTCACACACAAAGCATTAAAACCTAGTCAACTGCAATAAACAGAAGATTCTAATTTTTTAGCCAATAACTTGTTTTAAAGGTATAAAATACAGAGGACTTTTTCCCCAAAACATCTTTGAAAATACTGAATTGGAAAAATATCAAGAAAATACTAGGTAAATACTGCCAATAAGGGAATAAGTTTAATTCACACATTTCTTATTTTCTTATAAAAACCCAAAACACATAATATGGGTTATATATTGTGGGAATTTTTTGTCTCCCAAGAATTAAGTAATGTTAGAGACCTAGAATTTCCAGGAAGGCTCGCTTGATGAATTTGTTAGGAATGTGACCTATGTGTTCAATTCTAATATGTAAATGATAGGCATGATAAAATGTCTATTTTAAATAAAGGGAAAAAGACTGTAAAGTTATATACGGTGAAGTGGGTACCGGGTAAAAATCTAAGATCTGTCAGCCCACCAGACTTTTTATCTTTTGGGGAAATGTGTACTGGCCTTTGTCATATTCACCAGCAAGGAACATCTCTTCTGGAGGACAGTGATAGTGGTCAGGTTTTTCAATATTCTAAATTTCTCGCTTGTTTAAAAACCAACTTGTCGTTTCATCAGAAATAACCAAACCTAACAAAGGAGGAGAAAATTGAGTCATATTCAATTGAATATTCAAACCCTTTGAATATATATCTGTAGAGTTACAACCTAAACTTTAGGCCTAAAGGCAAGCACGGAAATGTCTACTCTGTTCCCTTTAATATTTTTGGTGAGTCACAGTCAGAGTACAATTTCCATCCACTTCAGCCAACTCCCTCTAACAGAGACAAAATATATTCTTAACAATAAGTTTAGATTTTTAAAAATTATTATCAAATTACAAGTAAAATTAATAATGTATAGAAAAAAATAGTTTTGAGTGGCTGTATTACTTACTGTTTCCTCTCCCACCATTAACCAAATCAGAAAAAGAAACCATAGTACAGCAGAAAGAGTACTAAACTTTCAAGTAGAAACTCCAATTTTCAGTCCCAGCATTGTCTCATACCTGTGAAAGTCCTTTAATCACTCTGAACCTCAGTTTTCTCATCTACAAAATAGTAATAATGATACCTACTTCAGAGCTGAGAATATTAAGATTAAATCAGACATCCATTTAAAGACCTAAATGAAATAAAACAACATCTATAATTATGTTTCATTTACAAATACATAATTTTAATGGAAAACACTATTAAAGTGTAAGCTAAAGACACAAATAGAGGTTAGAGCATGTTCTATTTAGCACTGGGATCACTCGCTATCCCTAATGGGGGCATAGAGGAAATGTTCTGTGGGAAAGATGATCTTCCAGATGACCTTTATCACATGCATTAAAGGTTACTTCACTGGTTTGGGCAAAAATAGTTTTAATATTTGTACCACTTAGTCCTACAGACTTGCCTCTTTTCATTTCTACCAAATCAAGCTATTTTCCTTTGGGAGCATTCACACGCTGATTATCTTTTCTTTGCTCAATAAACCAAACAGCAGCTAAACCTTCATGCTTTAAAAGTCATACAGATTCACTTTTAAAAATTAAATTTGAAGAATGTTTATTTTCTAACACTGGTTTTAATTTTAGTAATAATTTTCTTCAAGTCAAAATTAAAATCAGGTCTACGTTTTCTTCCCCATCACATTCTTTCCTGTTGTGACGAATTTAGTCTCAGGAAAAAAATAATAATTGGGATTAGAAAGGAAAAAGAAATGAAGAAAAAAAATAATGTAAGAGTAAAATACAGAAAGAATTACAATGATAACTTGGAGAAATATGATTACTATAAACAAGTAAAAGTGATTTTTAACATGACTAATCTTGATGATTATGCAAAAATCTTGTGTTAGGTTCAATCTGTCCGTTTAATTAGTTTAATACAAAACCTAATAAAAGTAAAATATAAATATTTTGCACAAAAATTCCCCTATAGATGAGAAATTTGGAACTTGCTAGTATCTTGATGACTTTATTTTTTAATTTCTACAACATAGCTAGTATTTCACTAGGTCAGTTTCTATTAAAACACAACTTAATAAGCACAGGCATAAAAAAAGATGAATTTGCACACAGATGCTTTATATGTGCAATGACACATCTCCATAATGTATTTCAATCACTTTTCTGTCTGCCTATTTGGATGACAGAACAAGAAAATGAATCTTGATCACCTAGATGAAAATTGAAGCATAGCATATTATTGATATCTTCATTAAATACAACCCCTCCCCCCAAAACACGATGCTTTCAGAAATGTGTTTGGCAAACTTGATATTGTTCTTGTAGATCACGATGCTTCAGAAGCATGACTTCTCTGAGGAAACACTAGATCTTGTAACAGAAATATCTTTAAATCTTTTAGATAGCCAGTCCACAGGGAAAGGTTTAAGAAAGGATCAAAGCTTGTTCTTTCAGCTTGAATTATTCCATTACAGCTGAATGTGACATAATTACAAAAGATGTTGGATGTGGAATCTCATCAGGATTATCTGACACTCATCTTTGTTGAAAAAGTCTCCCCAGCTGTTGCTCTGATCGCCCAAATGTGACAGGAGTACAGAGTACAAAAGTACTTGTAAGTGACCACTGCTTGGGGCGAGCTTAGCTTCCTTAGGCCATTTTGTGACTTTCCACAAATATCAATAGTATGGAAAAACAGAAAGCATTGTTCCAAATATAGTTCCATTTTCGTCTGTAAAGCAGCTTAAAAAACAGAAAAAAGAAGCACCAGCTACGGCTTATCTTTTGGAACATTTGTGTTTAATTCAGCCAAACTCATTTAGCTATAAACATTTCAATCAGAAACGATCATTTGCACTCCTATGCGAGTCTGCGTATGTTCTTATTTGCTTTTACAATCTCATCTTAATTTAGCACTCCCCTATTTTGATGCCTGTTAATAGCTTTACTGGTAGAAATTCTTGTTATTGGGAATGACTCAGAAGGAGCGTTTACGGCCCTGAAAATGAAATAAGATGAATAAATATTTAATTTCCTACTATGTTTAACAAGTTCTGGCCATCAGTAAATCACATTTAAAATTGTAAAAGGTGTGTTTTTTGCAAGCATTTGCCAAAGTTTCTTTTTTAAATATCACTATGGAAGTTGAATTGTAAAATATAACATCAAACATAAAATGTTGAATAATTACTCATTCCAAAGGATTTGGGAGAAGCAAAAAAAAAAAAAAATACTTTTCTTTGCTTCCTTGTCATGGATTACATTTTCTTCATACATTATTAATGAAGTTAAACTACTAGTAACATGCCAAATGTGCTGCATAGGAGATTTGTGCCTAATCCAGCACAAAACAGGCCCAGTCACATAATGATAGAAAAAAGAACAAATGTCAACAGTTTCACACTGGGACTAGATTAAGCAGACCGTACTTACTGATTTCTTACACAGGGATTATCTCACTTTTAGTGCTATGAGAAGGAAGGCCACACTTCTCTTATATTAACACAGAATTGCACCTGAGGAAAAAAAAATGAAGAAAAAAGGCTTCATCCCCACTCCCACTCAGTCTCACGGCCATGGAAACTTGATTTATTAAATACCACAGACTTAAGCCATTGTTTGGATAATGGACTACATAAAGATGTCTAATAGTGATATACAAGTATTAATACCTTAGAGATCAAATATAATATTGCTTCTCATTGAACTCTGATTAGATTGTGCTTAAAATAACTGGTGTTTACTGTTTACCCTTCTACTTGCTAGGTTCAGAAAGCTCCATGGCTTAGGTCATGGCTGGATTCCTTACAGGCAATATTAATGTTGAAAGAGTTTAAGGATTTTTTTCCCCTTTAATCTCTGGAGGCTAAAGTTTGCAGCCCTTACGTAAGCAAACTCCCATTGACTTCAGTGAGAATTTAGTAGTTGCATAAATATCACAGGAGCTGGCTCCCATTCCTCATTATTAGTCTTGCTCAAAGGATATGTGTTCATTGAAAGCGTAGTTTTAAGAACTTTGGTTATCCATGTTGACTGAGTTGCATCTATTATCCATGTCTAGATTCTATACTATTACATCAAGCCATGTAAAAAATAAATTTATTTACTCCTTTGTTTACACTTCAGAATGCAGACATTTCTGTATCCTCAAAAACTACAGTGACTGACATCCAGCCCAAAGAGTGACTTCATTATATCAATGAGGACAAAATCTTCCAATGCTTCTGTATTAAATAATCTCCTGAATGTATCTTTTTTTAAAACTTGATTCTTAGAAAAATATTTCAAGGAACTTTAACTAAAATAAATTTTTATCTTATGAGGTACTCCCATTTGGCTCATGAAGTATTTGCTAATTTACTTTACCTCTTACTCCAACTACTTAGTATGGTGGCTCAGAAGTCAATCCTTCAGTTAAGGGATAAAGCACTTAATCAGTTAGGGCTTTTTGCTTATATGGTACCAAACAATGGTGAATCATGTTGTTTGTATGCAATTCTGAAATAACTCTTTAGAAAATTCTGGCAATAAAAAAGGAGCAAAAAATGAACACTTGGAAAATAGAAAAAGGGATGAATAAGACTATATTGGTTTGACTTACCAAAATAGCAGGTAGAACTTACAACCATTCTCCAACTGTGAACACCCGCAAAGAATTGGTTTTTCGTATTTAAGGAAATCATAAAAATAAATATATTCCTAGGCAACAGTCCTTACCCTAAATTTTTTCTCCACTAATTTTCATTAAAAAGATCTCTAATATGAATCTTGTTTTTTGATATTTAGTAACTCTACCTATGCCCCTGGTCAAGTACTCATTTCAAAAAAAAGTTGCACAAATGTTGCTTAAAAAAAACTGCCTATGCTACACTTTGAATACTACATTATAAAAGGGTAGATACAGGCATATCTGTGCAGAATCATAATCCTTTTCCCATAAAACTAGACAATTTTAAAACATAATTGTAATTTATCTCATTTACATCTGACAATATAATCAAGCGAACATCATTGATTCTTTCTACCAACAAAAATTCTGTGGAACTTTCTGTCTCATGCAGCAAGGAGGTAGAAAAACAGGGCATTTAAATTCATGTCTTCTTACTATAAATCTAATATTTTTTTCCCTTCACATTAAGGTAACCGTTCTATTAATGCTTACCCTAAGTTCCTATATTTAACCCCAAGAAAATAAAGTAAAAAGTTTAAAATCTCTGGTGTAGAACTTTGGCATACATTTGTATCCTCTTTCATTTGTATTTGTTTCACTGATTTCCAAAATACCACAAAGATAACTCTGGTATTTAAGAGGACTTCAGATAGTAGCCAAGTAATATTTTCATTTCATATTTTCAGTAAATATTTTATAGAGTTTAATATATATTTTTCAAGATTCCTACATGGGAAGAGATCCTGATTTCCATTTATAGTTGTATTAAAAATCCCATTCTAAAAATGTTGATTTAGTTTTTTAAAAGTGATTCCTTTTTAAGAATTAGTTAAGTATTATCATAAATGGCACAAGACTATGGCAAAAATGTGAAGATGGACTGGGAATGACTGAGGTTTGGAAAACACTAGTTTATGGGTGCTTCTCTTTGACCTAGAAAAATACAGTGAAGAATAAATCACAAATGCTGACTTCAAAAATGTACAGTCTACGATAGTTTTCACATATATTATGATAGAAATTAATAGTGTTATTAGAAAAGAAGAAATATCTAAAATCAATAATCTAAGATATCTTAGGAAGCTGGAAAAATAAGAACAAATTAGATCCAAGGTAAGCAGAAGACAAAAAATAAAAATTAGAGCAGAAATCAAAGAAATTTTTCAAAAAAAATTCGAGAAAACAAATGAAAATAAAAGCTAGTTCTTTGAAAGGAGCAATGAAATTGATAAACCTCCAGACCAACTAAGCAAGAAAAAAAGAAGGAAAACCCAAATTACTAATACCAGGAATGAAAGTGAGAACATTCACTATAGATCCCATACACATTAAAAGGATAATGAAGGAATATTATGAATAACTGTAGGCCTACAAATTTGATAACCTAGGTGAAATAGACCAATTCCTTGAAAGACACAGTCTGTGAAAACTCACACAAGGGGAAATAAATCATCTAAATAGGCCTATATTTGTGTTTTAAATTGAATCAATAATTAATTACCTTCCAAAGCAGAAAGCACCAGATTCTGATGGTTTCACTGGTAAATTCTACCAAATATTTAGGGAAGAAATGGTAACAGATTCCCTATAATCTATTCCTGAAAATAAAAACAGAGGGAACACGTCCTAACTCATTCTATAAGATCAGCATTACCCAAATACCAAAACTAGACAAAGATATTACAAGACAGGAAAACTATATGTCAATATCTCTCATGAACACAGATGTGAAAATCCTCAATAAAATATTAACACATTGAATCAAACAATGTACAAAATGAATTATATATCATGACCATGTGGAATTTATTCTAGGTATGCAAGGCTGGTTCAACATGCAGAAATTAGCTAATGTAATCCATCTCACCAAGAGAATAAATTAAAATCATATGATCATATCCGTAAATGTAGTAAAAAAGTTTGACAAAACTCAACATCCGTTTATGATATAAATTCTCAGCAAACTAGGATTAGATAGGAGCTTCTTCAACTTGAGTTTTTTTTTTTTTAGAGAATCTGCAAAAGCCCACAGTTAATATCATATTCAATGGTTAAAAAAAAAATAGTTGCTTTCCCCCTAAGATCAGGAACAAGACAAAAAGGATGTTCTCTCTTATCTCTTACCACTCTTAGCCAATATTTTATTGGAAGTCCTACCCAATGAAATAATACAACTAAAGGAAAGACAAGGTATACAGATTGGGAAGGAAAAAATTAATAGTGCTCACCAATATTTCTGGTTCTCTCTTTTCTGCACATTCAAAGGTTTTACACTTTTCTATCGACTTAAAGGTAGCTTGCTTTGGCCAATGAAATATGAGTGAAGAGATGTGTATCAATTCCAGGCAGAAAGAAGCACTTAAGAGCTGGTGTGTGATTCCCATGTAGCTCCTTCTGCTGTGACAACTGCGAAAGCATTTCTTGAGATAGAGGTGTCAAAAGCAGCCTTGAAAGTTGAACTGCAACATGGAGCACAGCTAAGCCATTAAGATTTGGTGGAGTTTTTTGTTACCACAGCATAATATGCCCTCACCTAATTAATAACATGTCTGGATACATTTAACTAACAGAACAGCTTCAGCTACTCTGAAATAAAATTATTTCATAATTTATGAAATAATAGGAGAGAGAAAAGGGAAATTGCCTTCTGCTGGAGGGTAGGAAAACTTTCTTGGGAGGTGGTTTTACAAGGAATGGGTCAGAACATTAAAGGTCAGAGAATGGGAAGGGGCAATCAGATAGAAGAAATCATGGGAATAAATTCTTAGAGGGTAAAATACATGGTAAAAATGGGAGTGGTGTGTAGAAATATGAGAATTGGAACTTATAGTGGAAGATAACATTGGAAATGTAAATTGTAGCTGGATTGTTGAAGTCCATAAAGACAACCCAAGGTCTGAGACTTTATTCTGTAGGCAATAGAGAGAGCCCCTGAAAGCTTTTCAGGTGGGAAGTATTATTATCAGAGCTGAACTCTAGGCAGGGCAGGTTCAGAGAGGTGCACTGATGGCAAAGGAAGTACTTGAAGAGCTTGCAAATTTCTGGTTGAAAAAAATAAAGAGCTAAATTATAACAGTGTCAGAGATGATGGAAATGAACCAATGAGCATGAAAAAACATCTTTATGGTACAATTGACAAAACATAGTCAACTGAGAGAAAAAAAGAGGCAGGTTTGAAGAAAATGAATGAGTAGGTGAGTCCCAATAAAGTCAGAGAGAAGGAAGGGGAGGTTTTGTGGAATGTGACAAATGGAGATGAAGGCCTTGAATTTGAACATTGTAAAGGTTTGCTACTGATCTTTACCATGATTATAATATCTAAGTGAATTTATTTAGATTACCTATCCCATAGTTCAGGGGAAATAACCAATTTGATTAGCTGGACGTAGTACAAATTGTGCTGGGCTCCAAAATAATACAATAGGATAATAACTCATTAAGATAATATAATCAAAATAATAAGCATATAATTGCAAACAATTGTGCTTTTATCAACTAAAAAAAAACATTGTTTTATATCAAAATATTCAATGATCTAAAGTCACTGAATTCAACATATTTGCTATTATTTATTCTATTCTATTTATTTCTTTATCTCTTGAATTATTTAGATATTGGTATAAAAAGAAGTAAATATTCAAAGTAGCATATATTTTTGTGATTAAAAATGGTAAATAAGCTAAAAATTTTGCAAACTCTAACTCAAATCTGTTAGTATAGTGATCTTACACACTTAAGATAAAATTATAGTTTTTGAAAATATGCATTAATATGTAAACAGTCAAAAAAATAGTCAATTTTGGGAAGCATACATTAGAAAATGAAAAGCCATAACAGATTATCTGAAAAATGAACACAATGTTAATGACTAAAACAGGACAACTGAGGTGAATTTTCAGTGACTCAGAAATCTAATTTTCACATCCTCAACTAAACAATAATAATGGGCAAAAAATGGCAAATAAATGAAGGTTCTAGCTTCTTATTTCTCAGTATGTAGATCAGGTCTTCAAGTCACCCTCACCACTTTTGCACCCCCGCAAATCAGTGCTTTAAGCAAAATAGCATTTCCTCTCATCCAGTGTCCTAGCTTCCAAGTGCCTAAGTCAAAAGCTGCTTCTACAGAGCCTTCCTCTTAGATTGAAGTCAAATCCCCTCTAAAGCGTTAATGGCTAAAGTCTTGATATTTACTCCAAGAGATATTTGCTTTTGAATGGGAGCCTAGAAGTCCAAAAGATAATTGCTGCTACTATTGCGTTAACTAAAACTGCCGTGACACAAAGACTATACTTTGTTTTTTGCATATTTTATTTTTATTACCTATCACAGGGCATAGCATGCAATAGCCATTTAATAAATATTAACTGAATAGAAAAATTAATCTCTAATAGTTTAATTTTAGGTAAACAGTCAGGGGTACCTGCAGTCTAGAGGGGATTCCTATTCCTCAAATCATGCTGAACCGACACTGCTATGGACTGCATGTTTGTGTCCCCCCAAAATTTATATGTTAGAATCTAATCCCCCCAATGTGATGATAGCTGAAGGTAGGGCCTTTTGGAGGCAATTAGGTCATGGAGGCAAAGCACTCATGAGTGGGATTAGTGCCCTTTAAAAATAGACTCCAGAGAGTGCTCTCCTTCCTTCTACCATGTGAGGACATAGTGAGAGGATGGCTATCCACGAACGAGGAGGTGGGCGCCTACCAGACACCAAATCTGCAGACACCTTGATCTTGGACTTCCCAGCCTCCAGAACTGTGAGAAATAAATGTTTGTTCTTTAAGTCACCCAATCTATGGTATTCTGTTATAGTAGCCCAAACTGATTAAGACAGACAACTTACTCAAAGGTCCAGCCTAGACTGTGAATGTGAACCATTGTTACCAGTAGCATATCATTAATACAAACTCATAGCTACCAAACAAGGGAAGTCAAGGTCAAGATATATTGGAGAAAGAATTCAACAATAAAATTATTTTGAAAAAAATAGGGATGAATAACATGTCTTGAAGGAAGGAAACAGGGAATAAGAGAGAAGGAAGGGAAGAAAAACTGAAGTTTCCTGTCTTTAAAGAGGAAAGACAAGTTTTCAGATGTGGTCAGAACTATATAGAGAATTGCCATTTGATGACTCTGCACTCATGCTATTTCCTGTGTCTGCAAATGTGGCCAAATACACTCCACAGACTTCTATACACTTGTATCTTGTTCCTAAATAAAGGCAGCCTCCATTACCCCCTATAGCATGTTGCTTTGGAAATCCTATTCCTCCTAACTTTACCATTTAACATAGTCTTTTTGCTGAAGTTAAATATCCATGTCAAACAACAATAGCCAGAGTATCTGGTTACTGCATTCAGAAAAGGTTGGCTTGCTATTTATTTCCATTCTGTGATAATATTATGGTAATGTGCATAACTTAAATATGCCTCTGCAGGGTTTTCTTACCTTCTCCACTTACAATTGGCCCTTAATCCACTGCATAGCATTGGCCATTCTCATTATGTGACTGGTACAGATGCAATTAGCATAGTTTCAATGATGCTTGTAGAGTGATTACGACAGTTTGCAGTGTCATTCTGTCTGACCGTATCTTCTAATACCATGATGAATTAGCCCTGCTTCCTAAGTATTTTCCCAACACTTAGTATTAGTTGGGAAACTGAGTCAAATATATGCAAAGATAAAAATCCTGCTTTCTGATCTGCTCTCTGATAGTTCTATAATTCTTTTTTAATCTTTCATCTACAAAGCTGCATGGTATATTAACCATACATCCAACTTCCCTTTGAAATGAGTTTTTCCTTTGAGTGTTTCCATGAGTGTTGGATCTTACAACCTTAGCTGACTATATCATTGTGCTAATGAGGTCAAAGTCGATCTTCAATTCAATTCCCATGTAGTCCAATTAACTTTGATCTGTTCTATTACCAGAGGTCCCAACCGAACTATGTTGTCTGAGTAGTGAATAGGTGTAGTTCATCAAAAGGAAGACTAAGGAATAATAAATAGATCATCAGCCATCCATCATTCTATTGAAAAGCAACTTTCATATTTTATATATAGATTAATATATGAAATAAAATGAATATATGCTGTTAGACATGAAATTGGGTTCATCTGCATGTGTGTGTGATCTATTCAATAGTTCATCATTTGTAAAGACTGAAAATACACTCAGTCTCCAAGAGTAGTCTCCCCGTGCAAAGGATTAATGCTAAGTAGGATTGACCAGTCTTTTCCATACAGGGTCATCAATAAGGGCAAAACTCCAAACATAAATATAGAGAGATAGATATAACTTGGTAAACTACATTCCTTTATTATTCACTGGTATATTTTACATCTTTTCTGTTACATAAGGCAAAATTTTAATTGCAGCCTGGCTTCATGCTTTCCATAGTATCTTTGATGTCTTCAACTGGTGCATGCTCAGAAAATACTAATTCCTTTTAATCTTAGCTTAAATAAGACAAAATTAAATGAGGTAAATGTGTTGTCAAATTATGTCAGCTAAGTAGGGCTAAGTTTAAGGATGGTATATAATAGCTTTTTCAAAAAGTGGTACTTACATACTGATGAATCACAATTTTACATGGTACCTAGATAAATAATTTATGGTATTATTTATGCATTTTGTTATAAATAGAAAGGTGTAACTTAAAACATCAAACTCATGCTTTTCCAGATGTTAATATTAAGTTAGAAATACACACACACTCTCACACATACACACTAAAACAAATGAGACAGAAATATTTCAAAAATCCTAAAGATGAAATGCAAATGACTAAAGTTTAGGACATGAGAATATGATCACAAAAGAAAAGGTCTGAAATAAAAGCTATGATATTGGAAAATATATATTTAAAAGTTGCATTATTTTTTTAAAAAAGCAAAGGGTAATCTCAGGGACATCAATTAATACAATTCATTTTCACTTATTATTTTGCATGCAAAGCAGCTTCTAGCATGTCTTTTTCACCTATATGTTACTAAATCAATTCTCCTCAGAATGGGTATAAAACTCAAAGGAATCAATGGTTTAAGTGGAAAGAATTTTGACCATATCCTCTTTCCAAGGAATAATTATCTGCATGAAATCACCCTTATGAGGACTCTTTAATGCTGCAGGTCCACCCACCAGCTATAGTTTCAGTCCATACACATGTATAGATTAGAAATCCTCCACCTGGCCGACTCCACTTCACTGAACCCCAAATGACTGGACCAGGAGAGCATCCCAACTTCCCTGCCACAAAAAGAGCTTCCCAAGTGGCCCAGTCCACAATATGATTTAACTATGTCTTTCCTTATACCATGTTATTAGGTTAACATTTTTGACAGAAGGAAGATGTGAAAATGTCCTGACACAGAAAAAGCCTTGGTCTATTCAAGAAATTCAAGCCAATTGTATGATGGAAAGCAGTGAGTAAGGAATGGGGGTCCCAGGATGCTGTTCTACAAGTAGAGAGGGAGGCAGGGACATGGTTACAGAGGGCCTTGAAGGTCACTAGAATAGGTCTGGATTTTAATCTAAGTGCAATAGGAATTCATAGAAGAGTTTTAAGCAGGAGAATTAAATGATCCTATTTTCATATATACAGATATTTCTGGATACTATGTGGAGAATTAATGAGGGAGGGGAAGGCAAGAGGGGCAGAAGAGTGATTAGATAGAGGCTGTTTAAATTAGTTCCATATTAAATGATGGTAGCCTGGGCTATAGTAGCAGGAATGCAGATGGAGAGAAATGGATGGTAAATTAGGGGAAGAGAGGAATAAGGGCTGACTTGTAGACTTCTGGTGGATTTTACTGAGATGATAAAGTGTTGGAAGAAACAAAGGCTTGGTTGCATGGGAATAAAGAATTCAGTTTGGAAGATGTTGTTTACAAGATAC